>NC_000002.12:23721876-23873391 GCF_000001405.40 Homo sapiens
ACACACCCTCAATCTGAGAAGCAGGCTGGTGAGCCCATCCCTGGCAAGGCTGGGCCACTATTGCCACAAACTCTCTTGGCCTAGGCCACTGAGAAATTTGCAAACACCACTAGTGTGGATTGCAGCTGAAGAAACTATATGAGGACTACACTACTGTGTCTACCTAGAACCAAGGCCAATGACCCCCACCAAACTGATATGACATGACCCATTCATACAAATAAATCTTTCCCTATGAAACCTACTCCATAAAATTGGAAGAGGCAACTTTTCTACTAGATCCATAGAAATCAGCATAAGGACACATCAACGATGAAAATGCAAGGAAACATGTAACCTCCAAAGAAAACAATAATTCTATAGGAACAGATCCCAATTATAAGGAAATATACATGAAACGCCAGAAAAAGAATTCAAAATAATCTTAAGGAAACTCGGTGAGATACAAGAAAATAAACATAGATAACAAAATCAGAAAAACAATTCATTATTTGCATGAGAAGTTTAACAAAGAGGTAGTTAACACAAAGAACCAAACAGAAATCCTGGAGCTGAAGATTTCAGTGAATGAAAAAATACAACTGAGAGCTTTAACAACAAACCAGACCAAGCAGAATTTCTGAACTCGAAGACAGGTCTTTTGAAATAACACAGACAAAATAAATAATAATAAAGAACAAAAAAGAATGAAGAAGATTTATAGGACACCATTAAGCAAACAAATATTCATATTATGGGCATTCCAGGAGATAAAAAGGGAAAAGTTGAGTAAAATGTATTTAATGAAATAATAGCAGAAAACCTCCCAAGTCTTGGGAGAATGATGGACATCTAGGCCCAGGAAGCTCAAAGAACCTCAAACAGATTCAACCCAAACAGATCCTCTCCAAGACACATTATAATAAAATTGACAAAATTTAAAAAAGAAGAAAAAGTTTTTAAAAGCAGCAAGAGAAAACGGTCAAGTCACATGTAACAGAATCTCCATCAGAATAACAGCAGATTTCTTAGAAGAAATCTTACAGGCTTTGCAAACTACTCATCTGACAGGGGATTAATATCTAGAATATACAAGGAACTGGAAACATCTTAACAGGAAAAAAACAAACCATCTGATTTAAAAATGGGCAAATAGCCAGGTACAGTGGCTCACATCTGTAATCTCATCACTTTGGGAGGCCAAGGCGGGAGGATCACTTGAGCCCAGGAGTTTGAGACAAGCCTGGGCAACATGGCGAAACCCCATCTCTACAAAAAGTACAAAAAATTAGCCAGACTTGGTGGCATGTGCCTATAGTCCCAGCTACCCAGAGGGCTGACATGTGAGAATCACCTGAGGCCAGGAAGTCGAGACTGTGGTGAGCTATGATTGCACCACTGCATTCCAGCCTGGGTGACAGAGTGAGATCCTGTCTCAACCAAAAAACAACAGCAACAACAAACAAGAGAGAAGAAAAGGAAGGAAAGGAAGGGGAGGGGATGGGAGGGGAGGGGAAGGGAGGGGCAGGGAGAGGAGAGGTGAGGAGAGGCAAGGAGAGGAGGGGAGAGGAGGAAAGAAAGGAGGAAGGAGGGAAGGAGAAAGGGAGGGAGGGAGGGAAGGAGGGAAGGAAGGGAGGAAAAGGAGGGAGGGAGGGAGGGAGGGAATCTGAACAGATGTTTTTCAAAAGAACACATAAAAATGGCCAACAAATATATGAAAAAATGCTCAACATCCCTAATCCTCAGGAAAATACAAATCAAAACCACACTGAGGATGTAGAGAAAAGGGAATTCTTACACACCATTGGTGGGAATGCAAACTAGTACAGTCACTATGGAGAACAGTATGGAGGGTCTTCACAAAACTGAAAATGAACTACCATATGATCCAGGAGTCCCACTACTGGGAATTTACCGAAGGAAAGGAAATCATTATATTGGAAAGACATCTGCACTCCCATATTTGTTGCAGCACTATTCACAATAACCAAGATACAGAATCAGATACAGAATCAACCCAAGTGTCCAACAACAGATGAATAAAGAAAATGTGGTTATATACACCATGGAATACTATTCAGCCATAATAAAGAATGAAATCCTGCCATTTGCAGAAACATGGATGGAATTTGAGGACATTATGTTAAGTGAAGTAAGCCAGGAACAGAAAGTTAAACACCACATATTCTCTTGTATCTGCGGAAGTTAAAAAAAAGTTTATCTCATGAAAACGAAAAGTAGAATAGCAGATACTAGAGACTGGGAAGGGTAGAGGGAAGGGAGGAATAGGGAGAGACTTGTTAAGGATTCAAAATCACAGCTAGATAGGAGGAATAGGTTCTAATGTTCTATACCAGTTCAGAATGACTATAGTTAACAATAATATATAGTTTCAAATAGCTAGAAGAATAATGAATGTTCCCAAAACAAAAAAAGATAAATGTTTGATATGATGAATATATTAATTACCCTGATCTGATCACCATACATTGTATGTGTTGAAACATCCCCATGTACCCAATGAATACGTACAATTATTGTCAATTAAAAAATAATAATAAAAATAAAAGTAAAAAGAAAATTCTCTATTCTGAATAACAGAGAAAGATATATATATTTTTTAAATTGAAAAGAGCCTCAGAGACCTTCAAGACAATACTGAAAGGTCTAACACTCATGTCACTGAAATCACAACAGGAAAGGAGAAATATGTTGCTGCAGACAGAGGATTTAAAGAAATGATTACTGAAAACTTCCCAAACTTGGTAGAATATATTAACTTACAGATATACAAAGATCAGCAAATCCCAAACAGGTTAAACTCAAAGAAATCTATGCCTAGATACATCATAATCAAGTGGCCAAATATCAAGACAGAAAAAAAAATCTTTAAAAGCAGCCAGAGAGGCTGGGCACGGTGGCTCACGCCTGTAATCCCAGCACTTTGGGAGGCCGAGGTGGGCGGATCACGAGGTCAGGAGATCAAGACCATCCTGGCTAACACGGTGAAACCCTGTCTCTACTAAAAATACAAAAAATTAGCCAGGCGTGGTGGCAGGCGCCTGTAGTCCCAGCTACTTGGGAGGCTGAGGCAGGAGAATGGCGTGAACCTAGGAGGCGGAGCTTGCAGTGAGCCGAGATCTCGCCACTGCACTCCAGCCTGGACGACAGAGCAAGACTCTGTCTCAAAAAAAAAAAAAAAAAAAAAAAAGCCAGAGAAAAACAATGCATTATATATAAATCATAATTCAAATGACTGTGAATTTCTCATTAGAAACCATGGAGGCTAGAAGGCCATGAAATAACATTTTAAAGTGCTGAAAGGGCAGAATTGTCAACCCAGAATTCTAGGTCTGGTGAACATATTCTTCGGAAATAAAGGCAAAATAAAGAAATTCTCAAATGAAGGAAAACTAAGAATTTGTCACTACTAGACCTTCTCCAAAAGAGATGCTAAAGGAAATTCTTTAGGTGGAAGGAAAATAAAACCTGGACTTCATCAACAAAGGAAGAGCAACACAAACAATAAATGTCTGTGTAAATATAACAGATTATGTCTTACCCTTTAAGTTCTTAAAAATATTTGTGGCTATTGGAAGCAAAAATTATAACCTTGTCTAGTAGAGTTTTCAATGTATGTAATTCATATGTCAAATATAACATATGGCTGGAAGATTTCCATATATTACTTAAGGTAGAAAAATATTAACTTTAGGTACATTGTGAAAAGTTAGGTATGTATATTGTAAGCCCCAGAGAAATCCCTAAAAGCTATATGAAGAAATACAGTCAAGAAGCTAATAAAGAAATAAAAGGAAATACTCAAACTTTAAATAATCCGAAAGAATCCAGAGGAATAAGAAACAGAGGAGACAAACAGAAAACCTACAATACAATGGTAGAGTTAAATCCAAACATATAAATAATTACATTAAATGTAAAAATGTAAACCACCTAACAACCATTAGGATGGCTGCTATATGAAACACACACACAAACAAAACCCCAGAAAATAAGTATCAGTGAGATTATGGAGAAATTAGAACCTTGTGCACTGTTCGTGGGAAAGTAAAATGATACAGCTGCTATGGAAAACAGTATGACAATTCCTTAAAAAAATAAAATGAGAGTGACACTACACACACACACCCAAAAAGACTAAAAATGGAATTGCTATATGATCCATAAAAATGGAATTCCACTTCTGGGATATACACACAAAAGAAAGGAAAGCGGGTACTTCACACTCATGCACATTCATTTTATATTTGTATACTCATGTTCATAGCATTATTTACAACAGCCAAAAACTGGAAGCAACCCGAGTGTCCATCAAAGGATGAGTGGATAAACAAAATTTGTTATATACAGCTGACCCTTCCACAACATGAGGTTTAAGGGTGCTGACTCCTGTGTAGTCAAAAATCTATGTGTAACTTTTGACTCCCCAAAAAGTTAACTACTAATAGCCTGCTGTTGACTAATAGCCTTACTGATAACATAAACAGTTGATTAATATATTTTGTGTGTTAATATGTGAATATACTGTATTCTTACAATAAAGTAAGCTAGAGAAAGTACTATTAAGAAAATAATAATGAAGAGAAAATATATTTACTTTTCATTAGCTGGAGGTATCATCCTTGTCATCTTCATGTTGAGCAGGCTGAGGGGGAGAGGCAGGAGGAAGGGGTTGGTTTTGCTGTCTCAGGGGTGGCAGTGGTGAAAGAAACTCCACATAATAAGTGGAACTGCATGATTCAAACCCATGTTGTTCAAGGGTCAACTATACATAAAATGAAATATTATTCAACCTTAAAAAGGAAGGAAATTCTGACATGTGCTACAACATAGATGAAACCTAAGGACACTATGGTAAATTAAATAAGCCGGACACAAAAGGAAAAATACTACCTGAGTCCACTTATATGAAGGCGGTCAAATGGGGAGTTTTTGTGTAATGAGTACAAAGCTTCAGTTTTGCAAGATGAAAAGTGCTCCGGAGATGGATGCCACTGATGGCTGCACAACAATGTGAATGTCCTTAATGCCACTGAACTATACACTTCAAAATGGTTAAGAGGGCAAATTTTATGCTATGTGTATTTTACCAAAAACTTTTAAAAATACATTAAATGTAAATTATCTAAACACCAATTAAAAAAACAGATTGTTAGATTAGATTTTTAAAAAACCAAAGAAGATCAAGGTTTCTTTCTAAAAGCAATCTACTTGAAATATAATAATATATATAAGTTAAAAAGTAAAATGATGAAGACTGCAAAGAGAATGAAAAGACAAACCCCAGACTGGGAGAAAATATCTGCAAAATATGTATGTGATAAAAAGACTGGTATCCAAAACAAAGAACTCTAAAAACTCAACAAGCGTCACAATTTAAAAATAGGCAAAAGATCTAACCAGACACCTTACCATCTACAGACAGTAAGTAAGCATATGACAAAATGCTCAACGTCATATGTCATTAGGGAATTACAAATTAAAACAACAAAACACTACTTCACACCTATTAGAATGGCCAAAATCCAAACCACACATAGCACTAACTGCTGACAAACTGTGGGACAAACAAGAACACTGTTGGTGAGAATGCAAAATAACACAGCAACTTTGGAAGACAGTTTGGCTCTTCTTATGAAACTAAGAGTACCCTTTCCAAATAATCCAGCAATCATTATTATATATATACCTATACCCAATGAGTTGAAAACATGCCCACAAAAAAAACCTGCACATGAATATGTGTAGCAGCTTTATTCACAATTGACAAAACTTGGAAGCAACCAAGATATGCTTCAACAGGTGAATGGATAACAGACTCTGGCATATCCATACAATGGAATATTGCTCAGTGCTAAAAAGAAATGAGCTATCAAGCCACAAAAAGACATGAAGGAACCTTAAATGCATATTGTTAAGTGAATGAACAAATCTGAAAAGGCTACATACTCTATGATTCTAACTATGTAACATTCTAGAAAGACAAAACTATGATGACAGTAAAAATATTAGTGGCTGTCAGAAGCAGGAAGGGAGGAATGAATAAGTGGAACACAAGGGAGTTTTAGGGCAGCAAAACTATTCTGAATGATACTGCAATAATGGATGCATGGTATTAAACATTTGTCAAAGCCCACAGAATGTAAAACACAGAGTGAGCCCTAATGCAAACTGTGGGCCTTAGTTAATAATGATGTATGAATATTTGCTTACCAATTGTAACAAATGCATCACACTAATGCAAGATGTTAATAATAGGGGAAATAGGGCAGGGGGTGGAGTGGGAGACGAGATGTAAGGGAAATTTCAGTATGTTATGTTCAATTTTTCTGTAAATCTAAAACTGCTTTAAAAAAAAGGTCTATTAAGTTTTTTTGAAACTATGCAAAGGAGTATCTATATAATAGTTCCCTTTTGTATAAACAAAGAGGGGAAATAAAATATGCATGTACAACACTTGTTTATTTTAGCAAAAGAAACACCAGGTAGATAAACTAATGAGATTGGTACATGGTAGAGGGGTTGGGGCACTGACACTTCTCTGGATCTAACTTGTTGGCATAGTTATGACTTTTGTGACTATGTTAATATTTTACATACTACGAAAAAAAGTCAACAAAGATAGGAGGAACCTTAAAACCTAACATGAACTAAAACCAAAAGAAACTAACTAAATTTTGTTTCAAAGAATAACATAATCAGAGTAAATGGTAGTGGAAAGGGAGATTAAGCCAACTAATATTTTGAAAACAATATTTACACTATATGTCCTCAGTCTAAAGACAAAAAACACTATAATCAAATTTTGAACTCTAGTCAGTAGGGGGTGTTTTTTGTTTGTTTTGGTGATATGGGTTAATTCTTATTTAGCTACTTCATATGTATTTGGGGAATTAAAAAAATTCCAAATTATATATGAAGGATAATAAGAGACATAATTCTCCTTGTTGAAGAAGGAAATTGTATTAGTTCATTCTCACACTACTATAAAGAAATACCTGAGACTGGGTAATTTATAAAGAAAAGAGGTTTAATTGGCTCATGGTTTTGCAAGCATGGCTGGGGAGGCCTCAGGAAACTTACAATCATGGCGGAAGGTGAAGGGGAAGCAGGCATGTCTTATATGGCAGGAGCAGGAGGAAGAGAAAGCAAGGGGAGGTGCTACACACTTTTAAACAACCAAATATTGTGAGAACTCACTATCACAAGAACAGTGAGGGGGATGTCTGTCCCCATGATCCAATCACCTCCCACCAGGTCCCTCCTCCAACATTGGGGATTACAATTCAACATGAGATTTGGGTGGGGACACAAATCCAAACCATATCAGAAATTAAATATGCTAAATGAATTTTGTGGGAGGCTATTGTTTTGGACTGAGCTCCTGTCCTAAGATCAGACCAAACCAGAATGGAGTCATTCATATTAAGTGCAAGGCAATCACAGTGAACTTTGAAATGAGCCAATTAAAACAAAATGAAGCAGGAGATTCACAGCAACTAACCAGAAGGGGACTCGGCTTGTCTGAACTAGCATAAGGAAGTCCCCCTCTGTTTTAACCGTGTAAGAAAGTAACCTGAACTAACTGATGTTAATAATTCCCTTTTGTTCCATTTCTGCTTTCTGCAGCCCTTTTCTGCTTGTAAAGCCAGCCTCCTCTGCGCAACTCATCAGAATATCCATTCTGTTTTATGGAATAAGATGTTACCCCATTCTAGAATTGCCAATAAAAGCAAATTAAGTATTTGCACTAAATTTGTTGTAATTTTGACTTTTGACACATACATGGAAAGATGAAAGTCTAGAGGGGGAAAAAAGTAAAATGATGAGAAAAGCTATATCATCCAAATATTTATTGTTTAAAAAAGAATGAAGTAGCTATATTAGTAATAAAGTAGAATCTGAACAAGGACAATTACCAGGGATAAAGAATATTACATGATAATAAAATGTTCAATTCACCAAGAACTCATAACAATCCAAAATGTAATACAACTAACAATAGAGCTTTAAGATACATGAAGGAAAAACTGATAGAACTGAAAACAGAAACAGACAAATCCACAATTATACTTGGAGATGTCAACACTCCTCTCTCAGTAACTGGTATAAGTAGACAGAAAATCAGCAAGGATATGGAAGACCTGAACAACATGAGCAATCAATGTGATATAACTGCTACTAACAGAACACTCCACTCAATGACAACAGAATACACAGTTTTTTTTCAGGTGCATGTAAAAAAAATGCAGAATGCATTCACCAAGATAGATTGCATTCTGGATAACAAAACAAACCAGAATAAATTTAAATGAATTAAAATAATACATAGTATATTCTTTGACTATCACATAATTAAATGAGAAATTGTTAACACAAAATCTGAGAAATCCCAAATATTTAAAAATTAAACAATACACATCTAAATTATTCAGGGGTCAAAGAAGAAATCTCAAGGGAAAGTAGAAAATATTCTGAACAGAATGAAAATGAAAATACAACATGTCAGGCCGGGCACAGTGGCTCATGCCTGTAATCCCAGCACTTTGGGAGGCCGAGGCAGGCGGATCACAAGGTCAGGAGATCGAGACCATCCTGGCTAACATGGTGAAACCCCGTCTCTACTAAAAATACAAAAAATTAGCCGGGTGTGGTGGTGGGCACCTGTAGTCCCAGCTACTCAGGAGGCTGAGGCAGGAGAATGGCGTGAACCTGGGAGGTGGAGCTTGTAGTGAGCCGAGATCACACCACTGCACTCCAGCCCGGGTGACAGAGCAAGACTCCGTTTCAAAAAAAAAAAAAAAAAAAAAAAAAGGAAAGAAAATACAACATGTCAAAATGTATGGAACACAACATGTCAAAATGTATGGAATAGAAATTTTCAACATTAAATGTTTATATTAGAAAAGAAAGTTCTCAAACCAATAATCTAATCTTTCAGTTTAAGAATCTAAGCACAAAGCAAGCAGAAGTGTAGAAATCAGAAAATAAAAGTAACAATACCAAAAAAATCCTAGTTTTTTTGAAAAGATAAATAAAAAGAGACTGATCAAGAAAAAAAAAGAGAAGATACAAATTGCCAATATCAGGAACAAAAGAGGGGATATCACTACAGATGAAACAGAGATTACAAACTTACAAAGATTACTAGAGTTGTGTCAATAGGACTCGGGGCAATTTGAAAAGACTCTGACAGGACAAAAATGGAACCATTTTAGCAGTAATAAGCATCATAATAGCAATGCATTGTAATACATCAAATATATTTAAATCTATGAATTCATAATAATACCAAATTAACTCATCACCTTTGGATTGGTAAGGAAATAATTCATTAAATTCATTGAAAACTAGTTAATAAAGGCAAAGAATCTATCATTAATCTTACCTTTCCTATGTGACTTGCACTGTTAGATAAGCAGATAATAGACAAAGAAATATTTCTCTTGGTAGCATTTTCTACTAATAAATGAATAAGGAATAAGATTACATTAGAACTCACCATTCTGCAGGCTCTAATGTATTTAGGCATCAAATATCAGTCACTGATGACATCACAATAAGGAGGATAACCAGACTCTACGTGCCTCCTAATGAGAACACACAACCACTTATGAAGCAGTCTTGGAAAAACCAATAATAAATAAAATCAGAGTTAAGTCTCTAGATCAGTGCTGTCCAACAGAAATACAATGCCAGCCACACATATATTTAAATCTTCTAGTAGCTGCATTATCAATAGTAAAAATAACAAGGTGGAAATTATTTTTAATAAATGTAACCCAATATATCAAATATTATTTCAATGCAATCAATAAACTATTAAGGGCAGGGTGCAGTGGTTCATGCCTATAATCTTTTTGGGCTCAAGCACTTTGGGATTGAGGCCAGAAGTTCAAGACCAGCTTGGGCAATACAGTAAGACCCCACCTCTGTGAAAAATAAAAAAATTAGCTGGGCATTGGTGACATGTGCCTTTAGTCCTAGCTACTCAGGAGGCTAAGGCAGGAAAATCATTTGAGCCCAGAAGTTTGAGGTTACAGTGAGATACGACTGTATAACTACACTCCAGTCTGGGTGACAAAGCAAGACTGTCTCCTAGGGGGCAAAAAAAAAAAAACTCTTAATGAGATATTTCATATTATTTTTTGTAAAGAATCTTCAAAATTACTGTGCATTTTGACACAGCACATCTCAATTTGTACTAGCCACATTTTGAGTGCTCAATAGCTACCATATTGAACAGCACAGCTCTAGATCCAAGTACCAATTTATGAGAAATACAAAAGATAAATGAACATAGCCTCACCATAGGGATTCAATTGGCAAAATCCAGACTGTGGGAAATTCAATAGATCAAAACCTGGTTTCTTCAACAAATTAATGGCAAAGAAAAAGGAGAGACTGAGGGGGAATTTGTAGATTAAGAGATTTAAATGACAAAGGAGAAAAAAAACTGAAATGTGGTGTTTAGAAATGCACACAGGTGATAAAACTATACGAAAAGCAAAAAAGTCATTACCATAAATGTTAGGATGGTGGTTACATTTAGAGGAAAAAAGATTTCAATTGGAGTAGAGCACAGGCAGCACTTTTGGATTGTCTAACAATGTTATTTTCTGTACCTGAGTAGTGGTTACATCTTATAAATTCATGATTAACCTATACATTTGTTTCAAGCAGTTTTCCATGTATGCGTTATATTTTATAATAAAAAGGTGTTAATTCATAAATAAATATTTGATGGAAAAAATTGATGTTATTAGATATTAATTTCCTAAACTTCACAACAGCCCACTGTACCCCCAAACTTACCATCTCTATCTATACCCCCAGTTTCTGATCTGCTGGAATAAAATACTCTTATTCAAGACCAACACTCCTTCTAGTCTCTTTTGGAATCTTGACCCATTAATATCACTCCTCTTTCCCATCTTCAATCTCCATCTTTCTATCAAGGCAATATAGGACAGTGGTAAATAACTAGGCTCTTTTGTCAGAATCCCAGGGTTCAAATCCTGGTTATGCTATTTAACTAGCTGTCTCATCTTCAGCAAGTAAAAATCTCTCTGTGACTAGCTCTCCTCATTAGCAGAAGGGTGATAATAGTATCTAATTCATAGGGCCGATATCAAAATTAAAGGAGTTAACAGATGCAAAGCCCTTTAAAGAAGGCCTGGACATTTTCACTAAGTGTTAGTCGCTATCATTATTCTCACCACCCCTACCATCTCCATTCTCTCAATGTATGAACATGCTCAGTTTTTTCACTTTTATCAAAATCCTTTCCTAAACCCTGTGTCCCTGTCTAGTTATGTTCTCTCTCCTTCCCTTTTTCCTCAAAGCAACAAAGATCACCCAATTGCCACATCTCCTAGCAGCATTTTAGTACCTATCTTACTGACCTGCACTGGAGCATTTGATACTGTTGTCCATTTTGAACATAAAATCGTCTCCTCAAGTTCCGTGACCCCACTGTTTTGGCTGTCCCACTTTTGAGAAGGTATGATTAGTCTCAATTGCTAGACACCCTCTACCTGCTGCTTAAACTTTGCTGTTTCTCTATTTGCCATTTTCATTTCACTTCAAAAGCTGCCTAAGTGATCTGATTCGTGCTCATGGTTTGAACAATCATTTATAGGTAGCTAACCTTAAAAGCCTCCAGTTCTGAACCCTCTTCAAGCTTTAGATATATTTATCTAAATGTGTGCTGCACCTGGATGCCAAAATGTCCAATACTGTGTTCACTACAGATTGGGTCCTCCCTCTCAAATTCATTCTCAGTTAACATCCAATCACCCAGGCAGAAACCTAAGAGCAATTCCAGGCCCCTTCTTTACCCTCATCCCCAACATCCAATCACTGAATCCTACTGATTCTACCTCTAAATTTCCTAGAAATGATCTCTTTCTCACCATCCCTACTATACCTTCCCCAGTCCCGGCCTATAGCATCTCTCACCTGGAATATAGGAACAATATCTAAAGTCTTTACTGACCTCTAATGCTACTTTCTTCCTTACTTTGCTTTATTCTAAAGTACACAGAAACACCCATAGTTGCCTAAACTTGTTTGCCTGTTTCTATGCCTTTCTACTGTTTCCCCTGCCTGGGGTGTTCTTCCCTGATTTTTATTGCATTCTTTCATTTTTTGAGATGCCGTTAAGATAACTTATCCTCAGGGGGGAAAAAAGCCTTCCATGCATTACTAGGTTGGGTCAAGTTCCTGTATTAGTCTGTTTTCACATTGCTATAAGAGAATTACCCGATACTGGGTAACTTATTTATTTATTTATTTTTGAGACAGAGTCTCGCTCGTCACCCAGGCTGGATTGCAGTGGCGCAATCTCAGCTCACTGCAACCTCCACCTCCCAGGTTCAAGTGATTCTCCTCCCTCAGTCTCCCGAGTAGCTGGGACTACAGGCACGTGTCACCACGCCTGGCTAATTTTTTTGCATTTTTTAGTAGAGATGGGGTTTTACCATGTTGCCCAGGCTGGTCTCGAACTCCTGACCTCAAGTGATCTGCCCACTTTGGCCTCCCAAAGTGCTGGGATTACATGTGTGAGCCATCGTACCCAGTCAATACTGGGTAATTTAAAAAGAAAAGAGGTTTGACTGACTCACAGTTCTGCAGGCTGTACAGGAAGCATGGCTGCGGAGGCCTCAGGAAACTTACAAACATGGCAAAGATGCAGGGGAAGTAGGCACGTCTTACATGGGCAGAGAAGGAGGAAGAGAGAGATAAGTGGGAGGTGCTACATGCTTTTAAACAACCAGATCTTGTGGGAATTCATTCACTATCATGAGAACAGCAAGGGGGAAGTCTGCCTCCATGTTCCAATCACCTCCCACCAGGTCCCTCCTCCAATGCTGGGGATTACAATTCAACATGAGATGTGGGTGGGGACACAGACCCAAACCCTATCAGTTCCTCTCCTCTATCTCCCACAGCACCTCAACTAAACCATTATCATTGTATTTAACCAAATTTATTCTTAATTTTTCTTAATATGTCTTTTACTGAACAGTTATTTCCAAGGGCAGACACTGTGTTTTACTTAGCTTTGTAACTTCAGTGTCTATCATACTTGGCAAATGGTAGGTAGTTACTATATCTTGTTGAAAGGAAGTCATTACTTTCCATTTCACATATTACTGCCAAATTAATATTTCTAAAATTCTATTTTCATGTCATGGTACTGTTCAAAAACATTGTCACATGATAAAGTACAAATATCTTTACACTTGTCCTCCATAATAAGACCCCAAACTACCTATACAGCATTATCTTCCACCATACTCCCTTGTATTTACCCTTGATTTTAATTAAACTGGTCTACTCAGTTTTCCAAACTGACTTTTTGACCTCTAACTCTTCAAACCATTACAACTCATAAAAATGTTGGCCCTTTAAACTCAATACTTACTTAGCAACTTACTAGCAATTAATCTATGATGCTATATGATATTAAAAGCATTGTTGTGATGCACACCTGAATGGAACGGTCACTAATAACTTCCATATCATCAGTAGATGAGTGGTAGGAAAAAGGCCTAGATAACTTTTTGTTCAACTTATAAAAGATATCACAAATGCAAGAAAAACATTAAACTTTTATTTTCCATTTTACCCACCTTTTTCCTCCACTCTCGCCTTCTTTTACCTTCCATGGCTTGAAGCTCATCAGGGAGGAGAAGAAAAGGACTAGCTGGCACAGAATTTCTTTCCCTGAAGCTGTGCTTCATCTGTTAATCAAAATACTAACTTGAAAAGATTCTAAACAACCAGAATTCCAGTAAGAAGGAGAAACTTCAGTACGAAAATCAGGATGTCTTATGACGCAAGTGGTCCTATACAGACCAATCATTTGTTTCTGGAACAAGAGGTGCTGTCAGGAAAACAGTTGGCATTAAGTCAAGGAAAGGTGAAAGAAAGCCCAACTCCATCACCTCCAAGCACTCTGAAGGTAACTCTTGCTCCTGTAAAGGAGGAGGGGACCATCTGTGCAAAATCTTGCAAAGAACTCTTTAATTCCCTCTGAATTCTTCTATCTAATATACTGGCCTAATGGAAGGAAAATAAGGGTAGGAGGGCAAAGGTAGGAGAGAACAAAAGGATTACATCTAAGTATTCAAAAATCTCAAAATCATTTGTAAAAATAACACAACACTAAGCATTCCCACTGAGAGGCTTCTATTGTGATAATCAAGCAAACTAGAAAGTTTCAGGGTCAGTTCTGAAAATAGAGAATACTATTAAAGTAGCCAATATTTATGTAACTTTGCATTAATTATTTCTCATCTATACAACTCTGTCAGCTGATCTAGCTGAACAGTTCCATAAAGGAACCCCCCCCATTGTTACTATTTTCAGCATTCTTCCCTTGGGTTGGTTTTATTTCCCAGGGAAGACTCTGCTCTCTCCTAACTGGAGATTTTTGCCTTCTGGAAAGCAGGTTTTTAGTCCCCCACTCTTAAATAGGAGCAGATAGCAAGGAATTACCAAATATTTGAGGAAAACTTGTAATACTAAACAGGAACCAAAACAAACAGGAAAAGCAACTTGGAGGAAAAAGAGACTATGCAAGGAAAAGAAAAACAAAGAAAAAATCATCATGAATACCCTCACAGAGATGAGCTGATCTTGTACCCATGAAACAAAAACAAAATGCTACTTAAAAAATCAAGAGAAGATGGCCAAATAAGAACAGCTCCGGTCTACAGCTCCCAGCGTGAGCAATGCAGAAGATGGGTGGTTTCTGCATTTCCAACTGAGGTACCAGGTTCATCTCACTGGGGAGTGCCAGACAGTAGGTGCAAGACAGTGGGTGCAGCCTACCGTGCGCGAGCCGAAGCAGGGTGAGACACCACCTCACCCAGGAAGTGCAAGGGGTCAGGGAATTCCCTTTCCTAGTCAAAGAAAGGGGTGACAGACAGCACCTGGAAAATCGGATCACTCCCACCCTAATACTGCGCTTTTCCAACGGGCTTAAAAAAGGTCACACCAGGAGATTATATCCCGCACCTGGCTCGGAGGGTCCTATGCCCAAGGAGTCTCCCTCATTGCTAGCACAGCGGTCCCAGATCACACTGCAAGGCAGCAGCGAGGCTGGGGGAGGGGCGCCTGCATTGCTGAGTTAGTTGTTTGATTAGGTAAACAAAGCAGCCTGGAAGCTCGAACTGGATGGAGCCCACCACAGCTAAAGGAGGCCTGCCTGCCTCTGTAGGCTCCACCTCTGGGGGCAGGGCACAGACAAACAAAAAGACAGCAGTAACCTCTGCAGACTTAAATGTCCCTCTTTGACACCTTTGAAGAGAGTAGTGGTTCTCCAAGCACACAGCTTGAGATCTGAGAACGGGCAGACTGCCTCCTCAAGTGGGTCCCTGACCCCCGAGTACCCTAACTGGGAGGCACTCCCAGTAGGAGCGGACTGACACCTCACACGGCTTGATACTCCTCTGAGACAAAACTTCCAGAGGAACGATCAGGCAGCAGCATTTGCGGTTCACCAATATCCACTCTTCTGCAGCCACCGCTGCTGACACCAAGGCAAACAGAGTCTGGAGTGGACCTCTAGCAAACTCCAACAGACCTGCAGCTGAGGGTCCTCTCTGTTAGAAGGAAAACTAACAAACAGAAAGGACATCCACACCAAAAACCCATCTGTACGTCACCACCTTCAAAGACCAAAAGTAGATAAAACCACAAAGATGGGGGAAAAAACAGAGCAGGAAAACTGGAAACTCTAAAAATCAGAGCACCTCTCCTCCTCCAAAGGAACGCAGCTCCTCACTAGCAACGGAACAAAGCTGGACGCAGAATGACTTTGACAAGTTGAGAGAAGAAGGTTTCAGACGATCAAACTACTCCGAGCTACAGGAGGAAATTCAAACCAATGGCAAAGAAGTTAAAAGGCTTTGAAAA
The DNA here is from genome assembly GCF_000001405.40 of Homo sapiens. Taxonomy (NCBI): domain Eukaryota; kingdom Metazoa; phylum Chordata; class Mammalia; order Primates; family Hominidae; genus Homo; species Homo sapiens. The sequence goes on from NC_000002.12 coordinate 23,737,804, forward strand.
AAAATTAGATGAATGGATAACTAGAATAACCAATGCAGAGAAGTCCTTAAAGGACCTGATGGAGCTGAAAACCAAGGCACGAGAGCTACGTGACGAATGCAGAAGCCTCAGTAGCCGATGCGATAAACTGGAAGAAAGGGTATCAGTGATGGAAGACGAAATGAATGAAATGAAGCGAGAAGAGAAGTTTAGAGAAAAAAGAATAAAAAGAAACGAACAAAGCCTCCAAGAAATATGGGACTATGTGAAAAGACCAAATCTACATCTGATTGGTGTACCTGAAAGTGACGGGGAGAATGGAACCAAGTTGGAAAACACTCTGTAGGATATTATCCAAGAGAAGTTCCCCAATCTAGCAAGGCAGGCCAACATTCAGATTCAGGAAATACAGAGAATGCCACAAAGATAGTCCTTGAGAAGAGCAACTCCAAGACACATAATTGTCAGATTCACCAAAGTTGAAATGAAGAAACAAATGTTCAGGGCAGCCAGAGAGAAAGGTCAGGTTACCCACAAAGGGAAGCCCATCAGACTAACAGCTGATCTCTCTGCAGAAACTCTACCAGCCAGAAGAGAGTGGGGACCAATATTCAACATTCTTAAAGAAAAGAATTTTCAACCCAGAATTTCATATCCAGCCAAACTAAGCTTCATAAGTGAAGGAGAAATAAAACACTTTACAGACAAGCAAATGCTGAGAGATTTTGTCACCACCAGCCCTGCCCTAAAAGAGCTCCTGAAGGAAGCACTAAACATGGAAAGGAACAACTGGTACCAGCCACTGCAAAAACATGCCAAATTGTAAAGAGCATCAAGGCTAGGAAGAAACTGCATCAACTAACGGGCAAAATAATCAGCTAACATCATAATGACAGGATCAAATTCACACATAACAATATTAACTTTAAATGTAAATGGGCTAAATGCTCCAATTAAAAGACACAGACTGGCAAATTGGATAAAGAGTCAAGACCCATCATTGTGCTATATTCAGGAAACCCATCTCACGTGCAGAGACACACATAGGCTCAAAATAAAGGGATGGAGGAAGATCTACCAAGCAAATGGAAAACAAAAAAAGGCAGGGGTTGCAATCCTAGTCTCTGATAAAACAGACTTTAAACCAACAAAGATCAAAAGAGACAAAGAAGGCCATTACATAATGATAAAGGGATCAATTCAACAAGAAGAACTAACTATCCTAAATATATATGCACCCAATACAGGAGCACCCAGATTCATAAAGCAAGTCCTTAATGACCTACAAAGAGACTTACACTCCCACCCAATAATAATGGGAGACTTTAACACCCCACTGTCAACATTAGACAGATCAACGAGACAGGAAGTTAACAAGGATACCCAGGAATTGAACTCAGCTCTGCACCAAGTGGACCTAATAGACATCTACAGAACTCTCCACCCCAAATCAACAGAATATACATTCTTTTCAGCACCACACTACACCTACTCCAAAATTGACCACATAGTTGGAAGTAAAGCACTCCTCAGCAAATGTAAAAGAACAGAAATTATAACAAACTGTCTCTCAGACCACAGTGCAATCAAACTAGAACTCAGGATTAAGAAACTCACTCAAAACCACTCAACTACATGGAAACTGAACAACCTGCTCCTGAATGACTACTGGGTAAATAATGAAGTGAAGGCAGAAATAAAGATGTTCTTTGAAACCAACGAGAACAAAGACACAACATACCAGAATCTCTGGGACACATTCAAAGCAGTGTGTAGAGGGAAATTTATAGCACTAAATGCCCACAAGAGAAAGCAGGAAAGATCTAAAATTGACACCCTAACATCACAATTAAAAGAACTAGAAAAGCGAGAGCAAACACATTCAAAAGCTAGCAGAAGGCAAGAAATAACTAAGATCAGAGCATAACTGAAGGAAACAGAGACACAAAAAGCCCTTCAAAACATTAATGAATCCAGGAGCTGGTTTTTTGAAAAGATCAACAAAATTGATAGACCACTAGCAAGACTAATAAAGAAGAAAAGAGAGAAGAATCAAATAGATGCAATAAAAAATGATAAAGGGGATATCACCACCAATCCCACAGAAATACAAACTACCATCAGAGAATATTATAAACACCTCTACGCAAATAAACTAGAAAATCTAGAAGAAATGGATAAATTCCTCGACACATACATCCTCCCAAGACTAAACCAGGAAGAAGTTGAACCTCTGAATAGACCAATAACAGGCTCTGAAATTGAGGAAATAATCAATAGCTTACCAACCAAAAAAACTCCAGGACCAGATGGATTCACAGCCGAATTCTACCAGAGGTACAAAGAGGAGCTGGTACCAATCCTTCTGAAACTATTCCAATCAATAGAAAAAGAGGGAATCCTCCCTAACTCATTTTATGAGGCCAGCATCATCCTGATACCAAAGCCTGACAGAGACACAACCAAAAAAGAGAATTTCAGACCAATATCCCTGATGAACATCGATGTAAAAATCCTCAATAAAATACTGGCAAACCGAATCCAGCAGCACATCAAAAAGCTTATCCACCATGATCAAGTGGGCTTCATCCCTGGGATGCAAGGCTGGTTCAACATACGCAAATCAATAAATGTAATCCAGCATATAAACAGAACCAAAGACAAAAACCACATGATTATCTCAATAGATGCAGAAAAGGCCTTTGACAAAATTCAACAACCCTTCATGCTAAAAACTCTCAATAAATTAGGTATTGATGGGACGTATCTCAAAATAATAAGAGCTATCTATGACAAACCCACAGCCGATATCATACTGAATGGGCAAAAACTGGAAGCATTCTCTTTGAAAACTGGCACAAGACAGGGATGCCCTCTCTCACCACTCCTATTCAACATAGTGTTGGAAGTTCTGGCCAGGGCAGTCAGGCAGGAGAAGGAAATAAAGGGCATTCGATTAGGAAAAGAGGAAGTCAAATTGTCCCTGCTTGCAGATGACATGATTGTATATCTAGAAAACCCCATCGTCTCAGCCCCAAATCTCCTCAAGCTGATAAGCAACTTCAGCAAAGTCTCAGGATACAAAAATCAATGTACAAAAATCACAAGCACTCTTATACACCAATAACAGACAAACAGAGGCCAAATCATGAGTGAACTCCCATTCACAATTGCTTCAAAGAGAATAAAATACCTAGGAATCCAACTTACAAGGGATGTGAAGGACCTCTTCAAGAAGAACTACAAACCACTGCTCAATGAAATAAAAGAGGATACAAACAAGTGGAAGAACATTCCATGCTCATGGGTAGGAAGAATCAATATCGTGAAAATGGCCATACTGCCCAAGGTAATTTATAGATTCAATGCCATCCCAATCAAGCTACCAATGACTTTCTTCACAGAATTGGAAAAAACTACTTTAAAGTTCATATGGAACCAAAAAAGAGCCTGCATCGCCAAGTCAATCCTAAACCAAAAGAACAAAGCTGGAGGCATCATGCTACCTGACTTCAAACTATACTACAAGGCTACAGGAACCAAAACAGCATGGTACTGGTACCAAAACAGAGATATAGATCAATGGAACAGAACACAGCCCTCAGAAATAATGCCACATATCTACAACTATCTGATCTTTGACAAACCTGACAAAAACAAGAAATGGGGAAAGGATTCCCTATTTAATAAATGGTGCTGGGAAAACTGGCTAGCCATATGTAGAAAGCTGAAACTGGATCCCTTCCTTACACCTTATACAAAAATTAATTCAAGATGGATTAAAGACTTAAACGTTAGCCCTAAAACCATAAAAACCCTAGAAGAAAACCTAGGCAATACCATTCAGGACATAGGCATGGGCAAGGACGTCATGTCTAAAACACCAAAAGCAATGGCAACAAAAGCCAAAATTGACAAATGGGATCTAATTAAACTAAAGAGCTTCTGCACAGCAAAAGAAACGACCATCAGAGTGAACAGGCAACCTACAGAATGGGAGAAAATTTTTGCAACCTACTCATCTGACAAAGGGCTAATATTCAGAATCTACAATGAACTCAAACAAATTTACAAGAAAAAAACAAACAACCTCATCAAAAAGTGGGCGAAGAACATGAACAGACACTTCTCAAAAGAAGACATTTATGCAGCCAAAAAACACATGAAAAAATGCTCATCATCACTGGCCATCAGAGAAATGCAAATCAAAACCACAATGAGATACCATCTCACACCAGTTGGAATGGCAATCATTAAAAAGTCAGGAAACAACAGGTGCTGGAGAGGATGTGGAGAAATAGGAACACTTTTACACTGTTGGTGGGACTGTAAACTAGTTCAACCATTGTGGAAGTCAGTGTGGCGATTCCTCAGGGACCTAGAACTAGCAATACCATTTGACCCAGTCATCCCATTACTGGGTATATACCCAAAGGATTATAAATCATGCTGCTATAAAGACACATGCACATGTATGTTTACAGCGGCACTATTCACAATAGCAAAGACTTGGAACCAACCTAAATGTCCAACAACGATAGACTGGATTAAGAAAATGTGGCACATATACACCATGGAATACTATGCAGCCATAAAAAATGATGAGTTCATGTCCTTTGTAGGGACATGGATGAAACTGGAAACTATCATTCTCAGCAAACCATCGCAAGGACAAAAAACCAAACACCACATGTTCTCACTCATAGGTGGGAATTGAACAATGATAACACATGGACACAGGAAGGGGAACATCACACACCAGGGACAGTTGTGGGGTGGGGGGAGGGGGGAGGGATAGCATTAGGAGATATACCTAATGATAAATGACGAGTTAATGGGTGCAGCACACCAACATGGCACATGTATACATATGTAAGAAACCTGCATGTTGTGCACATGTACCCTAAAACTTGAAGTATAATAATAAAATACAAATTTTAAAAAGTGGAACAATAAAAAAAAAATCAAGAGAACTCCAAATGGCTCTTAAAAACTAAATACCAAAGTAAAAATTAAGAAGGAATAACAGAACTGTAGAAAGGCCAAGATCTGAATAACAGTAGTTCTAAAAGTGAAAAATTCACTCAAGAAAATTTCTCAGACTAAAAGGACATGATTTTCCAGAGTAGAGAGGCCTAAGAAAAGTGTAACATTTAGACACACACCCAGACAGGTCTGTGAAATTCCAGAGCATCAGAGGAAAACTGAAAATTACGAAAGCCTTAGGAGAAGGAAACAAAATCAGGAAAACAAAACAATAAGCAGAAAAGCACCGACTTCTCAGCAGCAATACAGGATATAAATGAGAAAAGTCCAGATATAAGATTCAGTGCAAGAGAAAGGTGAAGGATGTTCGCCCAAAAAAAAAAAAAAATGACTATGCAAGACCTTGGTGTACACCAATGCAAAATTGGAAAGGGTTAGAATGTTCCAGGAGAAATTTTCTCAAGAAAATGAAATGCTATAATACCTTACATGTTTGGTGATACTAACAAGAGTTGGGGCCAGGCGCAGTAGCTCATGCCTGTAATCCCAGCACTTTGGGAGGCCGAGGCAGGTGGATCATTTGAGGTCAGGAGTTCGAGACCAGCCTGACCAACACGGTGAAACCCCATCTCTGCGAAATAAAAATAAATAATGCATGGTGGCGCATGCCTGTAATCCCAGCTGCTTGGGAGACTGAGGCAGGAGAATCGCTCGAACCCGGGAGGTGGAGGTTACAGTGAGCCGACATTACACCACTGCACTCCAGCCTGGGCAACAGAGCGAAAATCCGACTCAAAAAAAAAAAAAAAAGAGAGAGAGAGTTGGATTGCTGGGGATGAACTGAGGAACAAACTAGTTTTTAAAATTGTTTTTTTGAGACAGGGTGTCACTCTGTCACTCAGGCTGGAGTGCAGGTGCTGCGATCTTGGGTCACTGAAGCCTCAAACTCCCAAGCTCAAGTGGTCCTCCCATCTCAGCCTCCTGAGTGGCTGAGACTATGATGCATGCCACCAAGCCTGGCTAATTTTTTAATTTTTCTGTAGAGACAGGGTCTCATTATGTTACCCAGGCTGGTCTTGAACTCCTGGGCTCAAGGATCCTTCTGCCTCAGCCTCCCAAAATGCTGGGAATAAAGGCGTGCTGGGTTCAAACTCATGATTATACATAAAAAAACAGGTAAATAAATACAATGAAGACTATTATTAACAAAAAGGTGTACAAGAAAGGAAACATCATCATAGTACACTAAATAGTTCCACTGTCAATAATTTTTACATAGACACAATAATGCAAATACTGAATAATGATCTGACCAAAATTATAAACAACTGGGAGGACGAGAGGACAAGAAGTGTGAAACGTGTGGTGAGGGCAGATATTACTATATTTTAAATGGTGGGAAATCAAAAGAAAATGACTAAAACTGGAAAATAAAAAGTAGCCATCTAAGAATAGTATTTAGAAACATCAAATAATCAGCTACAGGTGTTGAAAACAATTGGCTCCTGGGAGAATTTTTTTTTTTTTTTGGAGAAGGAGGGTTCTAGAATCAGGGAACTGCTGTTTTTTATAACAAGCCTTCTAGAACTACTTCATTCTTTAAACTACATACATGTGTTTCTGACTTTAAAATATATAAATTTTAAAGATATTAATCCCATTTATAGACATTTTTAAACCCACAAAACAATGTTTATAGACACATACAAATGTTTAGAAAGATGACTGAAATTTCTTGAACACTTACTATGTGCCTGGTACTGTTCTAAGTGCTTTACATATATTCACTCAAATATGTAATCATTGCAGTAACCACCATGGGGTTGGTGCTATCACTGTGGCCCATCTTATGGATAAGTACACTGACCTGCAGAGGGGTGAAATAATTTGTCACATGTTGCATAGCCAAGAAGGAACATAACCAGGATTCAAATTCAGACAGTCTGACTCCAGCCGCATACTATTACCTTCTCAAATAAAATAATTTAAAACACAGACAGGATATTCGTCAAAATCATCACAGTGGCTGCCACCAGTAAAGAAAGAAAACGAATGGGATTGGGAATGGGTAGAAAGTAGACTTAAATCTTCTCTGAAATTTTTTCTTTTCAAAAAAGAACTAAAACAAGTATGACAAATTGTTAACATTTAATACTGGGTGGTAGGAACATGCATGTTGTATTATTCTCTGTGGTATTCTACTATTTAAAAATGTTTATTCCTAGAAAAACTTGAGGCCAGGCACGGTTGCTCACGCTTGTAATCCCAGCACTTTGGGAGGCCAAGGCGGGCAGATCACCTGAGGTCAGGAGTTCAAGACCAGCCTGGCCAACATGGTGAAACCCCCGTCCCTACAAAAAGTACAAAAATTAGCCAGGGGTGGTGGCACATGCCTCTAATCCCAGCTACCCACGAGGCTGAGGCAGGAGAATCGCTGGAACCTGAGAGGCAGAGGCGGCAGTGAGCCAAGATCGTGTTACTGCACTCCAGTCTGGGCAACACAACCAGACTCCACAGCAAGCAAGCAAGCACGCACGCAAGAAAGAAAGCAAGCGAGAAAGAGAGAAAGAGACAGAGAGGGATGGAAGGAAGGAAGGAAAGAAGGAAGGAAGGAAGGAAGGAAGGAAGGAAGGAAGGAAGGAAGGAAGGAAGGAAAGGGAAGGGAAGGGAAGGGAAGGGAAGGGAAGGAAGGAAAGGAAGGAAGGAAGGAAGACTTGAATACAAGCAAAGGAATTTACCATTCACCTTAATGATTGATGGGTTAAAAATTCAATCTCTAAAGCCACACCACAAGATAGGACCCCCCAACCTGATGTTAGCTGTGTAACCTTGGGCAAGTCACCTAAGCATTCTCTATTTCAGTTTCCCCTTCTCTTAAATGGGACCAACAACAGTACCTACCTCCCACAGTTGCTGTGATAATTAAATGGTTAATGCTTGTAATAATACCTGGCACTCAGTTGTCTGCTGCTACTAATACTACTGCTGTATTTATTGTCATCCAAGCATTTACCACTGTTAGGTAACATGTTGTTTGTTTACTCTTTGCTGACTAGACTGTAAGCTCCAAAAAGCAAGGACCTTGCTGTCCTGTCTTCAGCTGTTAACTCCCTTGCCAAGAACAGTGCTCTGGCACTTGCTTTATTTGGCAGTTGCTCAAATAAATCTGTGAAACAGATGTTGACCTGTGATGACAGAGAACTGCCTGTACTTTCCCCTGCAGCTGTCATGCTATTTCACTTCTCAGCCTATGCTTCTGTTGTTCCTTCTGCCTGGAAATCCTTTCCCACCTTGATGCCTCAGCTCAGGCAAGGAACCAGAAAGGCTTCCTTGAGGTTAGGTTACATGCTCCTCCTCTGTATACCTACAGTGCCTAATATAAAATTCAATCTTAACACATGCCGTATTAGACTGAAATGATGTTTGTTATCTGTCTACCCCCACAAGAAGCAGTCAAGCATAGTGATTAAAAGCATCAACTCTGGAGCCAAACTGCCTACATTTGAATCCTGGATGTGTGACCTTGAGCAAATTAATCTATAACTCAGTTTCCTGATCTGTAAAATGGGGATAATAATAGCACCTATCTCATAAGGTTCTTGTAAAGATGAAAAGAATTTGCATTTGTGTCTGTATAGCACTCAGAATAGTCTCCAGCACCTAGTAAACGTGATATAAGTATGTTAAATTATAAAAATGTCCTTGAAGACAGACACAATGTCTTGCTCATCTTTATGCTCCCTCAATGCCTAGCACTCTGTAGGCACTGAATAAATGCTTAAATGTTTACTGAACTGACAGCTATTACACTAGTCCAAACAAAAGGATTAGTGCCCAAACTAAGATAACAGGAATGGAGAAAGGGTGATAGGTATGAGACATGCTTAGGGGGAAAATAAATCAACAGAATGTGCTGCATGATTAGAATGAGATGGGTCATAAAGAAGATAAAGTTCAGGTTGACAGCTAGGTTTCTCACCAAGATAGGGAATATAAGGGAAGCAAGAAGGAAAAAGCAGAGTTCCTGGCAAATTTTTAATAACAAAATGCTTCATTCACTGCTTAATGAAATTTAAAAGTGCTTTAAGAGCTTTTAAGAGCACCACACTTTTAAAAAATAATGTGAACTCTGATCAACCATGACAGAAACCTGGCACACAACATCAGAAAGAATTTAAGCTCCATGAAGACACGGACTTTTTCTGTTTAGTTTGCTGCTTTATTTCTAGCACCTGCAACAGTGCCTGATACATGGTAGGCACTTGTTATGTATTTTATAAATGAATGAAAAAATGATTAAGGTAAATTTGTGCCTTCTATGTCATGCAAATCTAAAGGAATTAAATAAGCATCTACTGAATCCTGCACTGCTTCAAATTCCTATAGGGAATACAGAAGAAATATAATACTTTTCTATCTCCCCTTCCCTCATGAATAAATTACTGTTTTATAAATTATATTTACATAGTAACTTACTATGTAATGCAGTACAAAACATAGCTAATTTCTGAAGAAAGATCAGCATACGCCATATATATACATATGTGTAATATATATATATTACACATACATACATAGTATGTATATTATATATATAATACTATACAGCCCTGAAATATGGGCAGGGTTTAGATTCTGTAACAATACATCTGATGTAATATGAAAGGTCACACACACAAAAAAACAAGAACAAACTTTGGTAAAGTGGGGATCGACTCTAGAAAAGCCAGATAGAGATGAAGAGCAAATATAATGCCAACTTTCTCTGAAGTCTTTCCTTATTTCCCCCATTCCTAAACATAATTAATTGGTTCCCTTCCCAGAACTCTGAACGTTATTGTGTCCCTTCTGTTAAAGCACTTATTCCACTGAATCATTACTACTGGTATATATACCAATTCCCCTGGCAGACTCTAAGCTACCTGAGAACAGGAATATGTTATTTGTGTATCCCACATGCCTGGCATAATGTCAGGCACATAACAAACATATACATGTGGGGGTAAAAGAGGGAATGTATATATTTTTAAACAGTCACTAGATAACTTTGTAGGTGTCAGGGTACAGGGATAACATGAAATAGATTTAAAGATTTGCCTCAGATTTTACTGTAGTTTTGAGTCTTATGGAAACTAAAACTAGATAAATAAAACTTCATCTCCAGAATCCAAAAAACTTGATTGAGCCTCAAATTATAAGCTTTTTATCTAAACATTCAGACAGTGTTAAAAATATGTTTTGCAGGTTTATTATTAACAATCTTTTGATACAGACAAAAGTTGAAATTATAGAATCTGAAAAATCAGGCAAAACAAAGTCTTAACTAAAATCCATCTTTTTTACTGTGATTCAAAAAACAAAAGTAAGAATTTATATTGAGGAAGATCAGTGTACTACAGGAACATGAAAAGGTGTCTCAAGGCACACAGGAAAAATAGGTATTCTGAAGCCAAGAACATTCTACTCACTTGAAGTAAGCCCTTCAAAACTCTGGTATGAAATCTCTGTCCATATTATGTGCTATACTGTACAAAGTATACTGATAACAACCCGATAAAAAGGAAAACATTTTAAACTAATGAACCATATGACCTGATCATATGTTATCGTATAGTCTTCCAGCTAGAAAAACAAATCTCAGAAGTAATCCATTTGCTTCTATACAACATATTTTAGACAATCTTCAACTAAAACTAAAACCACGCTTTCTCAACATAAAAAGCTTTCAGCTAAAAAATCGTGAGGTGTACTTAAAATCTAAAAGGAACATATAACACGACTTTTTGGGTGCTTAATAACCAGCAATATGCCTCTCTCTAAAACAGTCTAAATCAGCTAGAAAAGTAGCACTGCATTTGTAGCCAACAGTGATCATAATTAAGCTAAAGAAAGACATGTTTTTCTTGTCATCTTTATTCAAGTATTTCACAGCAGTTATATTACAAATTACAGTAAATGTTCAAATTCCAGAATTCAAAAATTAAATAATTTACTTCAACTAATGTCAAATGAAGTCAAATGCAAAACATCAATTTAACACAATTCTAAATTAAAACTACAAACCCAAAATAGACCATAGTTGATGAAGTCTACTTAAACTACAAAGTAGACATACATGACTGAAACCAAATTGGACTCCCAAAGTCTAAGTAACCAGATGTACAGAATACAAAAGATGCAGGTACAAGCCCAAATTCAAGCTTACAATGTGATTACAAATAATAATTATAATAACAATGGCATTCAGCTACGGGACCTGACACTGAAGATACCTACTGAATAGCACCATAGCTGAACCAACTTAATCAAAAAAGGGAAGAAATTACCCACTCCCTAAAAATAAAATCCAGTAAACCTACAAATACATTGGCTTATGAGAAAAATCAAGTCATGAAACAACATTAAAAAAAAAAAATCACAGGTGAGATTCAAGCTCGAAAACACAATTAACTCCACAGCCATCAGTTTCAACCCTAGTGCGGTTCCATCATCTTCAAAAAGCCCCCAGGGTCCCCACAGCTGAGCATGAATTATTGCTGAGCTATGCTGTGATACATATTTTACTCATCTGAGAGCAAGGTTTTACATAGGAGCTTATCTTTATAATGCTCACAATAGGAAATAAGAACAGAGGTCAATTTGTACATATTTTTGCCAATGCTATACAGCAAAAATGAAAAACTTACAGAAAGGTAAACAAAATTGAGTCCACTTTTTTAATTTCACAAGCTGCTTTAAACTATAGAACCACCAGATATCTGTAAAATAAGCAAAACTGGTAAGTGTGTTTTTTTAATTGAGGGAAGGAGGGCCAGAGGAGTTGGTACAATTTCAGCTCATTGTTCTCCCCTTGGCATTAGATTGACTTTCTCTTTAAGACCTAAACTGTTCAAAGTGGCAGTTCCTATACTGAGGTTGCCTCCAATTTCTCCATCTACATTACGGTTAAAAAAACAAACAAACAAAAGCAACTTGATCTTTTGGAAGCATTTTAATGCTGAAAATAAATACATTTCCCTTTTCAAACTCACTGATGGCTAAAATCTTAATTAATTGTACAAATTTAGTAACCTACTAAGAAACATGTGCATTTTTTTTTCCTTTCACAAGTGCTGCTGTTACTTGAAAAGAATGCTTCTGAATTAGAATAACTGGAATAAATATTTAAAAAAAAATAGTGCAGCAAGAACCTGAGACTTGCAAAAAACCCTTTTACCAGAAACTTGCTACAAAAAATCTGCTACATCTTATTTCATCAAATCTTTAAATTCTGTAACAATTTCCATCAAAATACAAAATGCTAATGTATTAGACAATAAAATAGTTTGAATCGGTATGATGGTAATAAATACTAAAGAAAGCATGAAAATCCTCCCAATAATCAAATTAGAGGTTTCAAATAACCTCCCCTTTAAAATGGTTCATCGTTAATCGCACTTGCCCACCTTAAAAATACAGTGTGTCTACATGGGTAGCATCTTGACTTGTATGACTAACTGGATATTACAGAAACTTCACAGACTAGGTACAAAGAAAACACGTGGCATTTAAAAAAAAATTAAGCTAGAATTAGAAGGCGTTAGATGTAAATGTAAATGCAAAGAAGCACTTTGGATTACTGCAGTAGGCTATGGCCAAAGTATGCTTTCTGCACACTACAAAGAGCCAAAGACAAGGAGACAAGTACCTTAGCTTCAGGATGTAAACGGTGGCAAAGTGATTACAAGACTCTGTAAACACTGTTGGTAACTAAAATACAAAAAGCTGAGGTAGCTCAGAATCTCTGCAGTAGTCCAAGACCATTCGCCCTAATTAAAACCCAAACTACATGTGTTGCATATATTGGAAAGACACACCTGCAGCTAACGGCTACAATGAATGAAGATACCAAGCCAACTTGCTGGCAAAATTTTCTTTTTGTTTAAAAATCATCTGATAAAAAAAGTCACTGCATCCTTTGCCTCATTGCAACTGCCTAGACTGTGTCTCCAAATTTGTAGAAAGTTTTTGTAAAACTAGTAACCCATAATTAATTTCAGATACATACAATTCACAGAAATCACTCAACAAGATTCAAAATGGTTTCCAATCAAAAAGAAGAGTTGTGAAGGTAAGCTTAGGAGATGGGATTTAAACATTAATACTGTTATTCAAGGACCATACCAGAGCTCGTTTGCAATTAAGCATACAGAAAATGAATTTTATGGAGCTTCTGATGAATTCCTCTCTTTTCTGTCCATTTGGCAAGTCCTGGCTTTAAAACAAAACAACAATTTACTACATATGAAAACCATTTTTCTCTGGGAACTCAAACATGAATAACTATTAAATTGCCACTGACAGAAGAAAAAATGGCCACTATCTATTTATTTTCTAGTCATCATTGTTGGCAATACCAAAACGTGTGCAGTTTTGTTTTTTGTTTTTTTGTGTGTGGACTGTGTATTATTCTTTGTTGTTATTCATGTTTCTTAAACCAAAACAGACCTTACAAGAAAACTTACCATTTTAGTATATTATGTGGCTTACTGGGTGTCTTGATTGAGCTTTGAGAATAAGACAGGCATTTCATACCCAAACACTGGTTGTCTCTTAATGACATAGAGTATCAAAACTTATTTTCAAGGTTGTGACCAAAGAAATATTTCTAATTTATTTGCTTCAAACAGCCCATCCTTTTAGCCTTATCTTCCTCAAATGAATAAAAAGGCACGTTAAAGGCAGTTCTAAAGAGCCTGACCTAATTTCATCCAGTTTCTTCAGCTTCCCACCAGAACAGACCATAGCCAACTCTAAAACAGGTTTCAGTCCATTACCCAGATGGGGGAAAAATATGATTAAAGGGGTAAAATGGAGGAAAAAAAAATAACAAGTTGCCCACTGTTTAAACAATTCAACACAGTTAGAACTGCCCCCATCCAGTTTCCTCCTGTTTGCTGGTCTGCTCCCTAAGAGAGGAGTCTCCAAAAGAGAGTGCACAAAAAGAGGAGCAGAAGCGAGAGCAGTTTCTGTAGCACCAAAATCTCCAAGCTGTGGGGTTGTATTTTTTATTTGTGGAAAATACAACATGTTTCTGAAGTTCTGTTTGGTTCTTGTAGGCTGGTTGGTTTCAGGTACCTGAGACAATAGCACCAAATTCAACAGAGAGAAAGAATGAGTGAGAGAGCACTTTACACCAAGGCTCTGCACATAATTGGTGCAATTTGAAATTGAATGGCTCAGAAGACTGCTCTGTGAGGAGCAGATTGGAGAGGATAAACCACTCATCTTGAAAAGTTCATAGGAATGTCTCAAACATATGAACTGTTCTTTCCATCTCCTATAAAAGGAAAAAAAATGCATGTTATCTATTAAGGGAAAGACAAAAGTGTTCCTCATTACGGAAGAATTCACTTTAAATTTTTAGGGAATGAATTTGAGATACAGGTTAAACTTTGAATATTTTCCTGATTATAATACCATAGGTAATTAAGACTATCTCCCCTAGATACTTCCAAGTACCTCCTATTTTATATTTAGGCCAATAAGGATGATGATGATGGTCACACTCAACAAATAACTAACTTATTATGCCAGTAATATCAGTATGAGGTATGATATGAGTAATATGAATATAAGGATGATGATAGCAACACTTAATGAGTAAGTTATTATGCCAGATATTTACTAAGAGATTTCTATATATAAAATACATAAATATAAGTAAATATTTATATTTATATGTATGCATATATATATAATTTATATATATAGTTTTAACTCCCATAACATTGAAGATTGAACAAACGTATTACTATCAGGTCCATTTTACAGATAAAGAAACTGAGGCACAGAGGGGATAAATAATTTGACAGCTAACAGGTGGCAGTCAGGATTTGAATACAGGCAGCCTCACTCCAGAGACTGAGCCCTTCCTTCCTCATTATATTTCACTAACTCCCAAAGCAAAATGAATGCATTCAGTATAGTGAAACTTATGCCAAAAAGCAGAATGCATTGTGTTCCCACTTCTATTCACTCCAACCAGAGCTGAAAAGACAGGGTTAAAAAAGAGCCAGAATGAGTGGCTTCCATCACTACCACCATGAAAGCCACTCACTGCTGATTCTGTTATCAATCCCTTCCCTCCCTAAACTAGGCCTCTAGATTATTAGGATTCCACACTGAGATGTTTCACTGGTGAGGAGTATTTAATGCATTCAAGCTAATAAAACTGCAACCATATGAACAAAGAAGTTCTAGAATTAAAAAAAATGTGAATAACTCTACCCCGCACATTTTATTCAGGTGGGCAAATGTCAAATACATCTAAGACACTTGCATTTTTTCCTTCCCTTTAAACAGCTCCAAAGAAATTCTATTCTACATCTCTGCAAAACTAACAGGCTGTATTAACAGATCATCATCCGATCAACAAGTTCTTCCATGTGGCCAACAAAAATCACTCCTGCTAAATGTTTTATCATATATTGCCAAATAAGAAAAGAAAATTACACATGAAAAATAACTATATCCTTTACATATAAATCTTTAATATACTAAAAATATTCTTTGAGAGCAGAGACTTTGTCTTACTCATTTTTTGCATTCCAAACACCCAGCACAGCATCTGGCACTGCAGGTACTCAATAAACATTTAATAGATAGACCACCAGATAAACAAACTAACAGGCAAATCAACAAAGGGAGTTGAATTAAGTCATTTAGCCATTTTGTGGGTAGATGAGTGATTACATTTGCTCAGATGACCTGAAAAGGCAGAAGTGTGGTTTAATGATGGAAATTATATAAACAAAGATAGAAGCTCATATTTATACAGGAAGAATTTCCCTTGGTTTAGAGTTGTCTAGAAAGGGAATGTCTCATCTCTAAAAGTATCTCAGCAAAAGGACAGTCGCTCCTTCATATGGCTAATTTATAGGACTAGATTTGACCAAAATAAGATGACTTTTGAGTTATCTTCCAACCATTAATGGCAAATAGGTCTCACTACCCATGCCAACGCCTTTATATCAGCAGTGGCTACCTAGGAAGCAGTGATAAGGAGTGTGGGGCCATGACCACATCCGACAAGCCCAAGTGACAGGCTCAATTGGCACGTCAGTTATAAGCAAGTAGGGAGAGAATTGTGACATACTATTTCTGTATATTTACCACCCTAGAACCATGGATTTCTGTGTTTTGACAAAAAAAAGGAACCCCAGATTACTTCTTTCCAGAGACAAAATGGTACAGAAAGGCTTTATTCTTCAAACTGTAACTCTTAATGATTTTTGTCTTAAATCTTCAAAACATTCTTCAGCTACTTGGTAAAAGACATAGATGTAGGCAAAATAACTTTTTTTCCTCTTTTCTTTGGAACAAGTAAAATCAAGTATTTGTTTATTCTACAGATAAACTAAACACTTACCTCTACAAGTTGTGATTTGTCATAATCTTTACGATGACGGTAGATACACTGACTAAGAAGAGAATATAATCTCTCAAGCTGATCAACTGCCAGATTGTTGCTTTTATCCACCAACAAATCAAGCAATTTCTAAGAAAAAACAGAAAAGAATAAAATGTAATTTGATTTCACTGGTCAAACTGAAATTGTATATTCAAATGGCTAGTCAATAAACACCATAAAGCGAGGATGTAACAGTGAACATGAAATTAAAAGATTTGAGGGCTTAAAATCATTCCCTTAGAATATCTTGGACTACTCCCGTATCTTTCAACTCCTTAAAATACACATAACTCTTTTTTACTAGGAGCTCTGAGGCATTTATATTTCAGGGTTAAAGCAGGAAAACTACTTTTACTCAACTGCCTACAAACACATTCAAATCTCCGTCCATTCATTTAAAACTTGACTGGGAATAGCTAAGCTTACCTTCAATCTCTCACGATCAACTATAAGAGGAGGCACAGGCTCAGATGGCTCTTCTGGAACCAGTTCCAGGCTTGTCGTTTTTGCCTGCTCTAAAATTAATTTACGGTATTTCTTTACTTTAGAAGCACCTATAATTGAGACAAAAAAATACACTGCAGCAAGTAAAAGTTAAGAAAAACCAGTCTTAAGCAGTTATAAATTCTTTTACCTACCACACAAATCCCTTTTGGAATGAGGAAGGGTGTATTCTTAAGTGATTTTTTTTAAAGCAACCCAATGTGGTAGATTTTTTATTGGTAAGACTAAGTAACCCAAATTAAAGAAAACTAAACTACAACTTAAAAAGCCAAGTCATACTAAAGTATCACCTAATAAGCATATCCACTAAAAGGAAGATAAAAGCAATCTTCACCTCTAAGCACTGACTTAACAAACAGCCTTCACTCTATGACAGCTACCATTTTACAACTGGGAGCTTTCAGAACCACAAGAAGGGAAGCAACCTAGAAAAGCAGATACTAACAAAAGTGGGGCCCACCTGTCTACACATTTGCCTCCCAACCTAAAACATTCCCTTCAGCATTGCCTGAAATTTCTTGTCTGTTACACTGCCTAAAATTCTATTAGAAATTGATTCAGAGTTTAACATTTTTTTCTTAAAAATATAAACCCATTAAAAGTGTAATAGGGCTGGTGTTCTTTCCTACCTTAGAGTAAATTAGTGTAATCTAATTACTTTCCTCCTCACATTTTGCTGAAACCAGCCACACTAAACAAACAGAAATTTTAAGGTGGCTAAGCATAATTTCACGAACCCAGGCATTCTGAGGGGTACAAAGGGTGGGTAGACCATGGAGCCCTGTGCTCCCCTAAGTAGGACTACTCTTAAGAGGAGGATGAGTGAGGGGAAGGAACACAAAGACAAACTTGGACTGTTTCAGAATTTCATACAGGATGTGGCCCATGTCAGGGACACTAAGGAGAACATATTTATTAAGTGTCTCAATGCAGGGACCCGCCTCCATCCTACATTAGTCCTCTTATTTCTTACTCCCAAGTCTTTAAACTCATCCTCCTTCTCAATGCCTGCTTTATAAAACAAACAGCAAACGAACCAAAGTATTGCCTTCAAAAACATGTATCATGATATATCAGAGAAATTTTATATTTCAGGCTGCTTTTAATGTGAAAGACTTCATAGTTCAATTACCATATGCTAGGAGTTTTGTTAAAATCATATTGATCCTCATTACTACATCCATGGACTTCTAGAGGCCTGAAAACTCAGATTAGGATACTGTCCTGATAATTCCAAATGAAAGCTTCAGGTCAAACTTTTACACAACAATTATCTTTATAGTGTTTAGATCACCAACTGAACACAATATTAATTTAAGCCTTTTTCAGCACGCTTATGGAAATCTCATAGAAATCAGCATTAAAATAGACTCCTCTATCCCCACCCATTCGGCCTCATACCAGATTCCTTCTCCACTTTTCCCATGCTGTTATATTCATTACTTAACCCTAGCTTTAACATATTTTTAAAGTTCTGTCTATCTGATAGCCCAGAATGAATACTGCTCTGAAAACTATTTTAGTATTAAATATTGAAGAATAAGACAAATGTTTAACAGGTAGCATTTAAGAACAGTAAATTTCTCTTTATCCATTAAAGGAATTCTTAGACTTTGAATAATATTTTCCTGCTTCCTAACTCTGCTAAAGGACTTAAAATACTGGCAGAAAAAAAAAAAATTTTCCCACATAGCCCAAATCCCAGGCTGAAGCTGTGTTCTCCACTCCACACAATTTAGAGAAAATAATATAATTTTAGGATAGCCTCCTATAAGAGTACCTATCCAGGAAGGAAATGTATATTGAGCAGGGTAGATATCAACTCATCCCAGACCCTGCTATGGGCTAAAGAATAATGATAAAGACAGGCTAGAAACCCTTAACTCCCTCTTTCTGCTGCTTCTTAAATGAATCATGTAGCCATAAGAAGTCAGAAGCTGGGAGAGTACTCTGATTCCCTGAGAACAAGGTAAACTTGACAATGATTGCTCTGCTTCTTTCCCCCACTATTGGACTTATAAAGCAATGAAGGCTTTTAGACTGAACAGCCCTTGGATTCAATTAACAATGACTTCCTGGAATGAATATACCTTAGTATGTGCCAGTTACCACGAGAGGCAATTAAAATACACGACTTATTTAATCCTTGCAACACCATTCTGAAGTTGAATTTCCTAGATGAATAAATAGGCTTGGAGAGTGTAAATAATGAGCTGAAAGTCACATGATTATAATGAACAAGAGTGGTAATTTAATCTAGGTCTATATTACTCTTCCGAATATATCATACTGCTATTATCACTAAGTCTTCTCTGCCCACACCCAGCCCATGCCAATAATTCTTCTTGGAATTCCATCTTCTTAACACCTGTGGATTTACTCAGCTTTCAGTCATAAATCCCTGAGGCTAGGGGTGATAATCAGGCAGGAGGCAGAAGAGTAAGCGGCCAGTAAAGCAATGCACTCGAAACGATACACCCTCTGAAACTTAAAGCAAAATTTGGTGCATGCCTCTGTGTGTGTGTGTACGTGCACACATGTGTGCTTTTCTAGAGAATAGGATGAAAACTTTAACATATTCTCAGAGGGGTATAATTATTCATCAACTATTACTACTGGGAACCAGATAAAATACACAACGAATTAACTCTGGAGTTTAAACCTTCAGAAGATTTTTCAAATATTAGCTCTACCTTCTTTATCCAGTTCTGCATCTTTAACCTCCACATCAGAGCCAGGTTCTAACTTCTCATTATTGCTACATTCCAGTGCCTCTAGTTTCTCAAGATCATCTCCATGATTTTCAGTCGAAGTTTCTGGTTTTTCTTTTGACTGGTCCTCCAGAAGAATCTTTTGTTCAGAACTACATTTATCTCCACTATCACAGAAAGAAACTACTTCAAGCTTGCCATTCTGACATTCCAGAACTGGTATTCCTTCAAAACTGTCAGTGGAAGCCTCACCATTTAGACAATTTCCTTTAAGGAAAGTCTCTTTCCTGGAGGTCTGCTCCGGGTTTAAGGAACTGCTGCTGTTGACCAGTAGAGATTCATTTGAACTTTCCTCCTCAGTAGATGCAAAGTTCTCTTTTGTGCCTGCTCCATTGTTAAGCCTCTGCCCCTGGTCCAAGTCCATGATGTCACAGGATGATTCATCATTGGTCATAGATAAGTCTCCAGTCTCTTCTCCATTTTCCTCATGGCAGTCAGTGCTTACCTCAAACTCTCCATTCTCTAATAATTTCCTGTCCTCCGTATGGTTCTCATAGTCTGCAAATTTGGTGTCTTCTTCATCTTTTTTTAAATTATTAACTTTCCTTTTCTTAATAATTCCTTTACCCCACTGTGATCTCCGCCTTGATTTTCTCCGAACCCGAACTGTTTTACAAGGAAGGAAAAAAGATATGTAGAACTTGGAATGCAATACCAATTTTACATATGTTTATTAAACAGGACCCAAAAGAAAGTAAACCCATGCTGATGTAACACACAAAAACTACTTAGCTCTTGACATTCATGCTGACTAATCCTTGCAACCTACAAATGGAATGGATATGAAGTCAGGGATGAACTCTGCAGAATAAAACATTTTTTAATGTATTTCCTGTATGAGTTTATTCAGCACTAATCTTTTCTACTATCCTAGATCCTACTTTACTACTGTTCCTAATTTTCAACATCCAAAAGCCACGCATATAATATACACATTTAAAGAATGACCACATTACCAGGCTGCCAGAAAGTTTGGGGCCAAAGCCCTGGATTTCCACCAGGAAGGTGGATGTTTTACTAGCAAAAGGTAGCTCCTAAATCATGAAAGAAAATAAAGACATGATTCAATATAGCATAACAGAACAGTTAAGGGTATCCTCACAAAGAAACCTCTCCTTCCAGAAAAAGGAATCACCCAAAGTTAAGTATGACCATGGATAGATGCCTTATGAAGGTTATTTGGACAATTTGGTGAGCCAACTGTTAATCTCTTCTAGCACAAACAGTTCACCCAGCAGCATCAATTTCTTGCAAAGTTATTTGAGAATATGTAGGAAAACTAAGCCCTCTGCTATCAAGGCAACAACAACAACATAAACAAAACACTGAAAATAAATACTTGGTCACTTATGTGAAAAGGGAGGCCTACAAAAGTTGTAAGGACTATACTCTTAGATGCTAGAAACTATCATGAGCTTTATGAGTAGGCAGCTAGGGCCTCTAGGTATTAATGGACCCTGGAATTTTTAATTTCTCACATATGTATCAAATTGAGGTAGATGGTTAAGCAAGTCTACCTCATTGTCCCTTAAATAAACAAAAAGTTAACTTTTATAATTTGGGACACTTGCATAATACAGTTAAGTGTTCTTCAGAACACTTAAATACAAAAATTATTAAAGCAAACCACTTATGCTAGAGCTGAATCACTTCTGGTATCTAACCCCAAATTCTAAATACTAGTTTGTTGAAAGTATCAGAATAAAAATATTCATTTTTTCTGTGGTTATGAACATAATAATTTTAACTTAAAAAAAGACAATATATATGTTTAATACATCAAAGCTGAAAAGCTTCCTGGGCAAAGATATTTTTTAAAGAAAATATAAATATGAAATCACTAACTGTAGGCTGTTTAATCTGTAGTTTAAAAATTGCTTTATAGAGACAGAAAGGAATATGGTCTTTTAATGACAACCCTTGTTTCTTATATTCACACTGCTTAATATGAATTTAGAATCTATCAACAGTGTAGTGTATTTACATACTTATTTAATCCTTTCATCTTTAATTCCTGCTGCATCTCTGTAAATTCACAAGAAATAGATAAATTTAGTTATAAATATTACTCTTCTTTCTTACCTAAGAATATATCTCCTAAAGGTTTCTGAAATCATCTCCAAAATTCAGGTTATTGAGTCATTTGGCTCAACATGTATTTTTCCTTCAAAACTGTAATCCTGTTAGCACTAACTCTTCATTCTTTTCCCCTATTAATTTCTATTTATATAATTTAAAGTTACAGGGTAATTAGCATAGAGAAGAAAATTTCTGTATTAATCTACTGTTAAAATCTGGTACACAGGCTCAGGTGATGGGCATTTGTAAACATCCCATTAGCTATAAGAAAAACTAATCTAGTCCATATAAAAAATAAAAAGCATTCAGCTTGCTCTGACTCTGCAAGTTAGCGCTATTAGGCTTTTACTACCTGACAGGCCATTCCTGACACCATAACCTCTCTTATTCTGCAACCATGTAACTGAAAGTACAATAGGTTCCCTTTTTCTTTCCTAAGCCATGAAACTAGAGCAAAATGAAGCTGAACTCTGCTCAATCAGGAGTCACCTCAACTACCTGACATGCAGTACATAAGCAAAGGCTGGGAGCCCTGCTGAAGCAAGTTACTGCAGGATAGACCTGGCTAATACGGTAAGAGAAAATGGTCTTAATCTTTGGGAAGTAGGACTGGAGGTATTTTTCTCTTCCTTATATAATTATTTCTAATGGTTGGTATAATTTTGGCAAAATAAGAGAAACAGACCACATTAGCTCCACAAGAAGAGATTTTTGTTTTAGTCACTGATGTATCTTCACAGTACCTGGCATGTGGCAAGAGTATATATTAGTATTTGTGGACCTAATGCTTAATATACCATTTCCAGCTAGGCATGGTGGCTCACACCTGTACTTCCAGCACTTTGGGAGGCCGAGGCTGACGGATCACTTGAAGTCAGGAGTTCGAGACCTACCTGACCAACATGGTAAAACCCCATCTCTACTAAAAATACAAAAAAATGAGCCAGGTGTGCTGGCAGGCGCCTGTCGTCCCAGTAGCTTGGGAAGCTGAGGTGGGAGAATTGCTTGAACCTGAGGAGGCGGAGGTTGCAGCGAGCCAAGACTGAGCCACTGCACTCCAGCCTGGGCAACAGAGAGAGACTCTGTCTCAAGAAAAAAAAAAAAAATAAATAAATTTATATATATACACACACACACACACACACACACACACACATATACACACACACACACACATACACACACACACACACACACCACTTCCTTCATCGGGGTGCTCTGTGTGAAAAGTCCATTTAGAGACACGATCTTTAGAGTCAATTTTTATAGCATCACTGAGTTTGTTTCCAAAACTAAGGCCTTAGGAAAGCAACTACGCCTTAGGGACATTCAGATTTCTTATTTAAGTTAATGTAAAACAGAAAAATTATGGGTCGCATATGCCATCTACTGGTAAGAGAAAACAAAACTCATATTTGTAGATTCAAAAAGTTTTTAAAATATTTAAAGGCACTTAAAACTTCTTCAAGTGAATAGTCAATGTATTTTCATTCATAAATATTTGTAGCAGATGCATAGAATGTAAAGAATTTCAAAGTTTAAATTAGAGTACTACATTACACAATCCAAGTCATGATCTGAAATACAACTAGGCCAAATAGGCTTAATCAGTTTCACGGCATCATCGAGTCCTTTCTCAAACTTTCTCATATACAAATGCCACTTACCAAAAGGGGACAAGCTTTAAAAAGGTGGGTATAGTTTATTCATTCAAATTCAATGCCACTGGTGAAACAACATATTATAGCTAGCTTTACTGACAAAGTAGTTCAGGTTGAGTATCCAAAATCCAACACTTTTTGAGCACTGACATGTCGTTCAAAGTAACTGCTCGTTGGAGCATTTCAGATATCTGATTTTTGGATTAGGGATGCAGAACCAGTAAGTACAATGCAAATATTCCAAAATCCAAAAAAAATCCAAAATCCAAAACACTTCTGGGTCCCAAGCATTTTGGATAAGGGATACTTAACCTGGATTATCACCTTTATACCAGAAAAACAGCATGTATCTTCCAAGGAAGGCTATCTTTAGTGAAACAGAAGAACTCTATTAGAAAGACGCAGTGTTTATTAACATTTGACTTTTGGAAATGTTATAGATCAACATGAATGAGTACAAAAAAACTCCCAATTTTCCCTTTAAATACATCTCACAAAAACTACAAAGAAAAGAAGGCTGTGCCAATTTTTCAAACTGAACACAAAATAGTCTCTCAGAAAAATCAACTTCCTGTTGCCAGATCAGACACACCCACATGCGGGAGTGTCCATTTCCCACCCTAAAGAGAACATCCTGCATAGTGTACAAGGAGTGGAGGATAAGGACAGGGGCATATAAAAATTCTACTGGCTCCACATGGCTATCCAAAAACCAAAGTTTAAAACTGAAAATATTCAAGCCTAGTTCAATTGTCATAGCAAATAATATTGAATAGGGATAGAAAATAACAAATAAAGTTAAAGAAATATATTTCTGATTCAGCATTTACCTCACAAGCTCTTCTTCACCTCTGAAAAGAGATTAAAAGAGCTATGGGAAAAGAGCGGCACTTTGTTTTGTACCCAATTCCTAACATATCTACATCATTCTCAGTTGTTCTCACTACTGGATAACATGAGCTGAAATACTCACATGCACATTTATTTGCAGAGTTGTGCCACACATCCATTGGATTTCTTTGTTTGTGCCGAAATGCCTCTTCGACTCTAGTTTCTGTCTTCCGAGCTCCAGTACTATGAGGATTTATTTGTTCTGATGTTACTGATAAGCCTGCAAGCAGAAGATAAGCAATACCTCTTTAAATATTCCCAGCTACATAAACCAAAAGGTTTTTAAAAAAATCTCAAATACAAAACTGAGTTTTAAAGTCATTAATTATACTAGGGCAGTTTGCAGTTCCAATGAAAGCAGTGTCTTTTGTTTTAAGATGGGTAAGAAACTTAGATATAAAATCATAAAAATAAAACAATCTGGCAGGCCATGTTTACACTTAATCCCCAAAGGGGCCCTATTTTTATTCATTTTAATTCACAAAGAGGCACATTTTACATTATTATGACTGTGGAACAATAAGATTATATATTATCCAAAAATAATGACCTCTGCCATCTTAGAATGTACAACAGTCTACTGGGCTACTAAACCCCATTCCCGTGAACTGTTTCAAAATGCTATTTGCTTCCTGTCGCACCACACTGCAGTCAGTTTGGTTGTCCTGCATTATATTCCTAAGACTAATCATTCTATCTTAATTTTCTTCACTAGAGATTTATTTCTTCTATGTGGTCCTTAAGTTGGTTTTTCTCCAGGTTCTCTCTGTAACCACTTTTCTTCTTACTCTAATCTACACATTCCCCAGCGAAGTATCATTGTGTTCAGGTTCAATTACTATTATATAATAATTCTCAAATCTGTATCTTTAGCCCAAACATCTCTGATCCAGATATACAACTTCTGATCCATATATACAACTCCTTACTTCATATCTCCAACTGAATTTCCTAAAGATAGATCAAATTAAAGATAACTGGTTTATCTTTCCCTACAAAACAAAACAGTTTGTTCTTATAGATTCCCTATCTAGATTGGGAGTATTAGTATCTACTAAGTCACTCAACCAGTAATATGGCAGCCAGTTTTTATTCTTCCTTCACTTCACAGTGCTCTCCATCCCTGCGGCTACATCTCACTTATATTAATCTCTTCTAACTCCCTTCCTACTTCATTAATTAAAACCCTGGACTACTCCAACAGGTTTTTGTTCCCCAACAGCTTTACTGAGATACAATTTATATAACATAAAAATCACCTGTTTTAAGTGTACAATAAATAGTTTTTAGTAGATGTATAGAATTGTAAAATCACCACAGCAATCCAATTTTGGATAACTGTCCCAGGCAATGACTACTCCACTTTTTGTCTCTATAGACTTGCCTTTTCTGGACATTTTATATAAAAGAAATCATACAATATGTAGTCTTCTGGGTCTGGCTATTTTTACTTAGCATAATGTTTTGGGGTTTTTTTTGTTGAGACAACATCTTGCTCTGTCACCCAGGGTGGACTGCAGTGGCATGAACATGGCTCACTGCAGCCTCAACCTTCTGGGCTCAAGCAATCCTCCCAACTCGGCCTTCCAAATGGCTGGGATCACAAGTGTACACCACCACGCCTAGCTAATATTTCTCACTTTTTTGTAGAGATGGTATCTTGCCATGTTGCCCAGGCTGGTCTCAAACTCCTGGGCTCAAGCGATCCTCCAACCTCTGCCACCCAAAATGCTGGGATTACAGGCGTGAGCCACCATGTTCAGCCAGCATGTTTTTGAAGTTCGTCCATGTTGTACTGTGTAACAGTACTTTGTTCCCTTTTATTACTAAGTAGTATGCGCTTGTATGGGTATCCTATGTTTTCTTTACCAATTCACCAGCTGACAGACATCTGGGTTGTTTCCAGTTTGTGGTTATTATAAACAATGCTCCTATGAACATACAAATGTTTATGTGGACATATATTTTCATTTTTCTTGGGTAGATTCCTAAGAGTAGAATCACTGGGTCATACAGTAAATCCATGTTTAATTTTTTAGAAATTGCCAAACCATTTTCAAATGGGCTCCAACAGCTTTTAAACTGATCTTTCATCTTCCTACCCTGGCACATTGAAACCATGTTACTTCTTCCCGCCAAGGCAATTCGACCAATTCATTTCACTGCTTAAAATCCTTCAATGATTTCTATTGCCTATGGCTATCAAACTTTAGTGTACATAAAAACTCTTGGATAGTTTGTTCAAATAAAGATTTCTTGGCCTTAATATTCTCAGAGAATCTAATTCATAGGTCTAAGCTGAAGTGGGTAATAGGCAGACATTTTTGAAAACACTGATCTACAAGATAAATCACAAGCTCCTTAGCATGGCATTGATTTACTCAAATATTTACCGAAAACCTGTTTTATACCAGATGGGGTTCTAGGGACTGGAGCAGAGATATAAACAAGACATTCAAAGTGCTGATATCCTAAATAAGGAGGACACGATCAAAAAACAAATAATATAATGCCAAATGCTACCAAAGCCTCTATCAGATTAGGTGGTCAGGGAAGAGCTCTCTAAAAAGGTAGAAGAAAAGTTTCTTCATAATTTTTGTGTCCTAGACCCCGCACCTCTTGAGCCCTATTTCCAGCATTCTGTATTTCTTTAGCAATACCAGTTTAACACACCTCTGTGCCTTTACATATGCTATTGTTTTCTCTGTGTGCAATACACCTCCTCCTCCTCTATCACTGCCTCCCTAGTCCATTAGAGAGAACACTTCTATATTCACTCCTTACTCTGATCAAAATGCTGGGTTCCCTACTGGGAGGTCTCATCTCTGTGCTCTGAACATGCTTCAACCAGTGCATACACCACACTGTACTTGATTGGTTTTACATTTCTCTCTCTCCTACTAAAATGTGAGTTCCTCAAGGACAAGATTATAAACTGAATTGACAAACCACAATTGCTAATTCTGTGTTTCTAATAACAAAATTGCATATAAATTTCACTAGGGTGGGAAAAACAGTATACCTAAACATGTTTTTAAAGTACCAGAAAGTAAACTGATGAAAAATAAAACCTTTTCATATCTAATATCTAAATCCATTTAGAAATCAATTCTTAAAAAAGATATACTCCTACAAAACAAATTTCAATAAGAAACACTTTATTTCTGTAATACACACTATCACACTAAAACTTTCACAGTAGGTAAAGTTGTAAAATATCTTTGAGAATTTACATAACACATTAGTATCAGAAATTAAATAAATACATTAAATACATTACTTTCATAATACCAGCAATCCTAAAGAAACAGCGTTCAAGTACTCTTGGCCTGAACAGAGCACACTAGGCTTCAGTACCAAGTTTATTTCTACAACTTACCTCTTTTTATTCTTGCTTCCTTAATTTCCTCACAAAGTTTATTAAATTCTGGATCTAATTCAGCTGCAATGATAGCATGTGCAGTGTCCTTCAGGGTACAAGCCCTGTGCCTAATTATTTTATCTGTTAAAAAAGTTGGTATATATTTATTATAGAAACAAATAAAATAACATTAACAAAGGACATCTTAAAAAGTAAAAGAATACAAACAAAATTATAAAAAGCATTGCTAGGTGAGAAAAAGTTTATTTAAAGTATGGGTAAAAAAATAAATATACTAAGCTACTCAGTCAAGTTAGTAATTCTCTGAAAATTATACTTTAAGAACCTCAAAGGACTAAACCTATTACCATTTCTGAAGCAGTCTGGAGAATTACAAGAAAAAGATACATGGTTTCAAATTTCTGAAAACAGAAATATGTGATTTTCAGTAAAAATTTAAAAAGTATTTAGAGGATATTCACCAAATGCCCAGCCCCAGAGTTGTCAGAGATTAATATTAGGAATTCAAAAAAATCTTAAATTTCTCCTAAGTTGACATTGGTCAAAACTATGCTAAAGAATACAATATATTTTAAAGGTGACTTATTTTTTTTTAAATGTGACAAAAACAGAGAAATACAGAAAGACTTTCTAAGCTAAAGGGCACAAGATGGTGTATACATTGTAGGTAGATCCAGGAGAGAAGCATAAACATGGTTCCAGGTAAACTATGCCTAAAAATGGTACTAAAAGAGGAGCCTCTGCTTCACACTAATCCAGAAGTTCCCATTCATAAACAATACAATATAAACAGTGCCCCCTAGATCTGTGCAACTCAGAAATATGAAAAGGCAAGTAATATATCAAGGTAACTAATATTCTAACAGTATCAAGAGCAAGAATCCAGAGTTGCAAAACAACATTTGCTTTTTCCTCTCTAGTAAGGGCAAACAGTATAGACAAAGTTACAGAGACACTTTATAACTTTTCTGATTTGAAAGTTATTATGGCTCATTGTGGTAATCTTACAAAACCAAACATGCACCACTCAAAGGCACCACTGATATTTACTTCCAACACATTTTCTCTAAACATTCACTCAACAAATGTTGTCGACTGCACCAGGGAAAGCTGGATGGTGGCCACCCACAGCAGTGAACAAAACATACATGATATCAACTTTCAAGGACTTTTTCAGACCACTACAGGAACAAATCATCTCTCATACATCCAAATTAACACCTCCTCCCTCCAAAAAAGAAAAAACCCAAAAGCAAAACACCCTGAAAAACAGCTATGAAGAAAACCTACAGGGTACTGGTGTGGGTTCCAATTTAGATTGAGCAAGTCAGGAAGAAGACTCTCTGAAGAACAGGCATTTAAACTGACACTTGAAGCACAGACTGGAGTAGCTACTGAAAGAGTAAGGGGGGAAAAAAAAAAAAACAACTAGTGCAGGTTCAGAAAATACCATGTGAGAAAATCCTGCTGTAAAGAGTTTGGAGATTTCAAGAAACTGAAATGCAGCCAGTGTAGTGTTATGAGTTCTAAATTTCTTTTCAAAGAATCAATATGTCAGTATGTTCAATTCTTTGCCTTCTACTTTTAAACTTAACTTCCTCGTAAAGCAACCTTTTTCGATTACCTGCTCTACCCTGACTCATTCCAATTACCTGCTCCACCCTGACTCATTCCGATTACCTACTCCACCCTAACTCATTCCTATTACCTGCTCTGTCATAACCATTTTTCCCGCCAAAACACTTACCTCGTCATTCTCTTTAAATTAGCCAATCGGAATTAGTTTAGCCTGTGTGGTCTAACCCTAGCCAACAGGAGAAGGACACAGCAGTGGGGGGCCACATGCATCAGGGATAATAAACCCTTCCCCTCCCTTGTCCAAGTGGGCGCCCACCATTACTCCATCTGTAAGGGTGCACCCTTCTATAGAAAAACTTGCCTTGCTGAGAATTAAAAAGAAAATTTTATATTCAAGTGCTTTTTGAGGTACTGAAACTATTTATAACAGTAGTCAGAACATAATAAGCAAGAGGCAAAGAGAAACTGATCATATTGAAAGGATTTCAGATTGTATCCTAAGAGCAATGAAAATCATTGAAAAGATCTGCTGTGGTTGTTTTCTGATCACTGGATTGAGGGGAGTCAAGAATAACACCAGGGAGCATAGTCACTAGGCTTTATTTTAGTGAGAGAGGATGATGACTTGAACTGGGGTAATGGTGGTGGTGGTGGTGAAAGACAAGATTACAGATTTGAAATGTGCTCTCAATGACACAATTTGGTGATAAAGTAGATAAGAGGGTAACATAAATATCAAAGATGATTTCCTAGCTTCTTGCATAAAAAATGGGGAGACGGACATACTATTTATAAAGATGCAAAAACAAACAAAAAACAAACAAAAAAAAAAACAGAATAGAGAGGAAAGGAGGAAAAGAAGTTAGAGAGTAATCTCAAAGAGTTCAGCTTCAGGCATTTCAGTTTGGAGATGCCTAAAAAATATCCCAATGGAGATACCATGTAAGCACATGAATATGTGTCTCAACAATTCTCTTTATGAACAAAAACCACAATGATTCTGTAATCTGCATTATTAACATATTGTACTTCCCTAAGTTTAAAAATAGATCTATTGAAGCATAATAGACATATAATAAGTTGCTCATACTTAAAGTATACAATTTGATACATTTTGAGGTAAGTACACATCCATAACATTACCACAACAATAAAGATAATCAATGGGCCAGGGGAAGTGATCGTGCCCGTAGTCAAAGCACTTTGGGAGGGAAAGGTAGTAGGACTGCTTGAGCCCAGGAGTTTAAGACCAGCCTGGGCAACATGGCGAGCCACCGTGTCTCCACTCTGACTCATTCCCATTACCTGCTCCACCCTGTACAAAAAGTACAAAAATTAGGCAAGCATGGTGGTGCATGCCTGTGGTCCCAACTACTTGAGAAGCTGAAGCAGCAGGATCGCTTGAGCCCAAGGGAGTTGAGGCTGCAGTGAGCCATGTTCACACCACTGCACTCCAGCCTGAGCAACAAAGCAAGATCCTGTCTCCAAAAAAAAAAAAAGACAATGAGCATATCTATCATCACCAAAAGTTTCTTGTGACCCTTGATTTTCCTCCCTTCACCCTTCCTCACAGCCCTCTATTCCCAAGCAATGAAGGATCTGCTTTCTCTTGCTATAGATCAGTTTATATTTTCTAGAATTATATATACGAGTGGAATCACAAAGAATATTTTTAATCAGGATTCTTTCACTCAGCATAATTATTTAAGCATAAAAATAATTATTGGTCCCTATTTTTGCATGTATCTGTACTTCGTTATTTGTTAGTGCTGAATACT
The DNA here is from genome assembly GCF_000001405.40 of Homo sapiens. NCBI lineage: Eukaryota > Metazoa > Chordata > Mammalia > Primates > Hominidae > Homo > Homo sapiens. The sequence goes on from NC_000002.12 coordinate 23,768,865, forward strand.
AATCCATTATATGGGTATAACACAATTTGTTTATCCATTCACATGCTGGTGGACATTAGTGATAATTCTGAGTTTTGGCTATTATAAACAAAGTCACTATAAACATTGATGAACAAACCTTTGTATGGAAATATACACGTTAATTTTCCTTGGGTTAATACTAAGGGGTGGAATGGCTAGGTCAAATGATAGGTACGGTTCTTCAGCAACCGCAGGGGATTGGTTCTAGGACCCCATCTCCCCTTGGATATCAAATCTCCAGATGCTTATATCTCTCATATAAAATGAGGTAGTGGCCGAGCACGGGGGCTCACGCCTGTAATCCCAGCACTTTGGGAGGCCAAGGTGGGTGGATCACGAGGTCAGGAGTTCAAGACCAGCCTGACCAACATGGTGAAACCCCATCTCTAATAAAAACACAAAAAAATTAGCCGGGCGTGGAGGCAGGCGCCTGTAATCCCAGCTACTCAGGAGGCTGAGGCAGAGAATTGCTTGAACCCAGGAGGCAGAGGTTGCAGTGAGCCGAGACAGCGCCACTGCACTCCAGCCTGGGTGACAGAGGAAGACAGCGTCTCTTTATTTATTTATAAATAAATAAATAAAATGAGGTAGTACAGTCAGCCCTTTGTATCCACAGGTTTCAAAGCACACATATGGAGGGATGACTATAATACATATGTTAAACATTCTAAGAAACTTCTAGACTGTTTTCCAAGTCAGCTGTTTCATTTTACATTCCTACCACAGTGCATCATAGTTCCTGTTACTCTACATCCTTGATTACATTTGATATGGTCTTTTCAGTTTTAGACGATTATTACAAGTGTTTAATGGTGTCTCACTGTGGGTTTTTTTTTTTTTTTTTTTTTGAGACAGGGTCTCATTCTGTCGCCCAGGCTGGAGTGCAGTGGCATAATCTGGGCTCACTGCATCCTCTGCCTCCTGAGTAGCTGGGATTACAGGTGTGTGCCACCCCACCCAGCTGATTTTTGTATATTTAGTAGAGACAGGGATTCACCATGTTGGCCAGGCTGGTCTCCAACTCCTGACCTCAGGTGATCCACCCACCTTGGCCTCCCAAAGTGCTAGGATTACAGGCGTGAGCAACTGTACCCGGCCTCACTGTGGTCTTAATTTGCATTTCACTAAAGATTAATGAGGTTGACCGGACACAGTAGCTCACATCTGTAATCCCAGCACTTTGGAAGGCCGAGGCGGGCGGGTAACCTGAGGTCAGGAGTTCGAGACCAGCCTGGCCAAAATGGTGAAACCCCATCTCTACTAAAAATACAAAAAAAAAAAATAGCTGGGCATGGTGGTGTGTGCCTACAATCTCAGCTACTCGGGAGGCTGAGGCAGGAGAATTGCTTAAACCCAGGAGGCGGAGGTTGCAATGAGCTGAGATCATGCCACTGCACTCCAGCCTAGGTGACAGAGCAACTCTGTCTCCAAAAAATAAATAAACAAATAAATAAATAAATAAAAAGATTAATGAGGATGAGTATCTTTTCATGTGTGTATTTGTCTTCTGTATATCTTATTTGGTAAAGTGTCTTCAGCTCTTATGTCCATTATTTAAATTGGGTTATTATTAAATTCTGAGACTTAATATTCTGGCTATAGGTTTTAAGTTCTTGTATACAGGTATGTGATCCATTGTGAGTCAACTTCTGCATACAAAGTCTTTTTTTGCATGCTGATATCCAATTGTTCCAACACTGTCTATTGAAATTTAATCTACTTTCTTCATTGAACTGACTTTACATCTTTGTCAAAAAGCAATTGACCCTCTATGTGTGCATCTATTTCAGGACTCTATCCTATTCCATTGACCTATTTGTCAAACTTCATGCCAACATACACTGTCTAGATTACTGTAACTTTTTAAGTCTTACAATAAAGTAGTATTAAGTCTTCCAGCTGTTTTTATTTTCCAAAGTTGTTTTGACTCTAGGTCCTTTTCATCCTCATATGAATTTTAGAATAAGCTTGTCAATTTCTATCAAATGCCTGCTGGAATTCTGATAGGATGGTGTTGAACCTGTGGTTCAATCTGGAGAGAAATTACATTTTCATAATGTTGAGTCTTCCAATCCATAAGCCATGACATATATCTCCATTTATTTGGGTCTTCTTTATCTCACTAATATTTTATAGTTTTCAATGTATAAGTCTTACATGCCTTTTGTCAGATTTATCTATATTTCATGTTATTTTTTGATGTTATTTCAATTTCCTGTTTGTTGCTAGTATATAGAAAAACAAGTGTTTTACATGCTGATCCTGTCTCCTGCAACCCTAACTTCACTTACATGTTCTAATAACTTCTTTAAATATTCCATAGGATTTTCTATGTAGACATCATACGTCTACAAACAACAACAGGTTTACTTCTTTCTTTCTGGAAGTAGGGATGCCTTTATTTCTTTTTCTTACCTTACTGCATTGGCTGAAAGCTCCAGTTTAATGTTGATAGAAGTGGTAAGAGCAGACATCCTGGTCATGTTTCTGATCTTAAGGAGAAAGTACTTACTCTTTCATCACTAGTATGATGAGAAATGTAGGCTTTTTGTAGACATCATTTATCACTGAACTGAAAAGCGGGGATAGGGGGAATAATTTTGTTCCAGTAAAAAAATTTGACTTACAAAAACAGGCTGTCAGCTTGATGATAGTCTGCTGACCCCTGGTTTAGAGCATCTACTTTTAATGTGATGTATGTGATTATTGATATGGTTGCTATTTATTTTCTACTTGGCCTATATGTTTTTTGTTCCCTTTTTCCTCTTTTTCTCACTTCTCTTGGAATTACTGTATACCTTTTTATGATTCCATTTTATCTCCTTGTTGGTTTATTAGCTCTAACTCTATTGCGGCCCCTGTGTGAACTTTAAGGAATATTCCCTCTCCTTCTCTGGCCTCAGATAGTTTTCTCACACATATGCACTAACCAGTACTTAGTTAAACACTAGGGTAGGACCTCCTGGAGATAGCCAGAGTGTTCTCTCTGTGCAGCTTTCTTCTTTCTGGTAATCTGCCCTGCAAACCCAAACCACTGTGGCCTCTTCAGATTCCAGGTCTGGCTCCCCAGTTCAGAGGACCTCCAGAATATGCCTGGGCTGCTCCTCCTGGGGCTGGTATCTGGAAATTGTCTCCAGGCAACCACACTACTCCTCTTATTTGTTTCTATCTTTTGGGAATCACTGTCCTGTGTTGCCTGGTGTCCAATGCCTTCCAAACAGTTTTTCTTTAAATATATTTTGTTCATTTTTTTTTTCATTGTGTCATGTGAGGGGGTAAATAAATCGAGTCCCTTTTACTTCATCTTGGCCAGAAGAAGAAAAGAAGAAGTCTCCTGGTGTCTTTTAAACACTCTTTGAAAACCAAACTTTAATAGTTGTGCAACAATCCAAAGTAGGATGTGCCTTAATTTTTCAAAAGTATTGTTCTCTTTTTGGAAGCTTTAAGTTGCTTCTAATTTTAGCTACTATAAATAAAAAACTACAATGAACATCAACATCCTTAGAAGTAGCTATACTTTCAAGTTGACAATACAATGTTTGTAGCCTATGCAATACCACAGCTTTCCACCACTGGCTTTCTACCTCGGCTTGAATGAAGAGAAACTAAAAAAAAAGGTAAGATTAAATCTAAAGGTATGGATCTGGCATATTGTCTCTAAAATAACTCAATGATTGGTCTTTCTGCTTTTTATAAAGTGTATCTTCTATCCCAACACTACCCTAAATTAAGCAAGAAAAAAGAATAAATGAAGAAAAAAAATCCATAAAAATTTCCCACTAGTATGGAAGACAAGGAATATATTCTTTTAAAAAAATCTGCATTTGAGAGGGAACACTGCTTTTTTGGGGGGATGGGGGTGGGGGACAAGGTCTCACTCTGTCACCCAAGCTAGAGTGCAGTGGCATGATCATGCCTTATAGCAGCGTCAACCTCCTGGCCTCAAACAGTCCTCTCTGCCTCAGTGCCCCGAGCAGCTATTAATAGGACCACAAGCATGCGCCACCACGCCTGGCTAATTTTTGTACTTTTTGTAGAGATGGTGTCTTGCCATGCCCAGGTTTCACACTGGCCTCACATTCCTGGGCTCAAGCGATCTGCCTACCTCGGTCTCCCAAAGTGCTGGGATTACAGGTGTGGGCCACTGTGCCGGGCCAAGGCATTGCTTTTTCATGTGCCTATCATTATAATTCTTTTCAATCATTGTTTAGAAGATTGTCTAAGATTATACATAGCATATAATCACAAACTTAGAAGAATATTCAAAGTAGAAGGGATGTCTATGATAATCCTAGGTTCTTAATCTTTTTGACCTGGATTCATATAAGAACAGAACATGGTTGGGCATGTTGGCTCACATCTGTAATCTCAACACTTTGGGAGACTGAGGCAGGAGGATTGCTTGAGGCCAGGAGTTTCAGACAAGCCTGAGCAACATAGGGAGACCCCATCTCTGCAAAAAATTAAAAAGTTAGACAGGCTTGGTGGCTCATGTGGTCCCGGCTATTCAGGAGACTGAAGTGGGAAGATTACTTGAGCCAGGGAGGTCGATGTCTCAAGTCAGCTATGATGGCTACAGTAAGCCATGATCGCACCACTGCATTCCAGACTAGGCAACAGAGTGAGACCCCCTCTTGCGGGAGGGAAAAAAAGAATAGAATAAAAGTTGAAAACTGCACATGAATATAATTTTGTTTGTGGATTCAGAGACTCACTCATCACTTAAAACTCTAGGTTTAAAATTGTGTGGGAATAGAAACTATATATTTATGAGTTTTCACTCTGTCTCATACTTTAAGATTTTAAGACTGTCCAAATCCATGTAATTTCCAAGTTACATAAGCACAGCAAAAAAACCCCATATATTGGCTTTGAAGTCAAGACAGCTCTCAATCCATTCAGTTGTGCCATATAACATCTGTGGGTTTGCACACAGGTAATTATATAACCTCTCTGAGCCCCCATCTCCTCATCTATAAAATAAAGATATTACCACTTACATTTGTCTTCAGCAAAAAGTACTGGCTACTTAGGACATATAGATGAGTATCTATAAAATTAATAGAAGCAGTACTTTAATGAATGTAACAGCAATTTCACTGTGTTGATGTTTCTTTTGTAATTGGTAAACTTTTACTTTTAGTTCATTATGAAGAAAAAAAAATCCCAGAAGTATATTAGCTGAGATTTTGTTCAACAAAATTATTAAGAGTAACCATATTTTTAAGAAAAGCTCATTTTTATGGTATGATTTTTCATCCCAAATAATTTCATAAATAAGAAATTTGGCTGGGCATGGTGGTTCACACCTGTAATCTCAACACTTTGGAAGGATGCAGCAAGAGGATCACTTGAAGAGTTTGAGACCAGCATAGTCAACCTAGCAAGATCCCATCTCTACAAAAAATTTTAAAATTAACCAGGCATGGTTGTAAGTCCTGTAGCTGTAGTCCTAGCTACTCGGGAGGCTGAGGTGGGAGGATCACTGGTGCCCAGGAGGTCAAGGCTGCAGTGAGCCATGATCATGCCACTGTACTCAGGTCCAGGCAACAGCATGAGACCTTGTCTCCAAAGAAAACAAAAAACAGAAAAACATTTTAACTATATTTACTGGTTCAGGTCATATTTATATATTATTAGTATTTATGCATATTTCTACAGAATGTTACCATGTCTCCATTTTATAATTTCTACTTAATCTGAGATTCCTTGAGTTAGTATCTAAAAATAGAGGCTAGGCACAGTGGCTCACACCTGTAATCCCAACAGTTTGGGAGGCTGAGGCGGGTGGATCACCTGAGGACAGGAGTTCAAGACCAGCCTGACCAACATGGTGAAACCCCGTCTCTACTAAAAATACAAAAATTAGCCGGACATGGTGGCGCATGCCTATAATCCCAGCTACTCAGGAGGCTGAGGCAGGAGAATCGCTTGAACCCGGGAGGCGGGGATTGCAGTGAGCTGAGATCGTGCCATTGTGCTCCAGCCTGGGCAACAAGAGCAAAACCCTGTCTGAAAATAAATAAGTAAATAAAATAAAAATAGAATAATAAATAAAATTTACTCATCGGCCACATTTATTAAGAACATGCTTTACACAAGATGCCTATACAGATCCTGTTCTCAATCAGCTTCGAGTCTAAAATAAAGGATGAGGATAAGTAAACAAATAACTATGGGCAAAAAAGTAATAAATGTCTCAGAAAAGTTACATTATGAGATTCAGAGATGAAGGGGTACTTACAACTGGAAGGAAATCAGAAAAATCTTTCATGAACTTAGCATTTTAGTATTCCCTGAAGGGTAGGTAAATTTTATTTTATTTTTTTATGTTTTATTTTTTTTTTTGAGACGTTGTCTTGCTCTGTCTCCAGGCTGGCGTGCAGTGGCATGATCTCAGCTCACTGCACTTCCACCTCCTAGGTTCAAGCGATTCTCCTGCCTCAGCCTCCCAAGTAGCTGGGAATACAGGCGCACACCACCATGCCCAGCTAATTTTTGTATTTTTAGTAGAGATGGGGTTTCACCATGTTAGCCAGGATGGTCTCGATCTCTTGCCCTCGTGATCCGCCCGCCTTGGCCTCTCAAAGTGCTAGGATTACAGGCGTGAGCCACCGTGCCCAGCCGGGTAGGTGAAATTTTAAAACGATATGTGATTTTAAAAGCTACATGCTATTAAAAAGTACATTTTCTTGTATGTTGCTTATATCTCAATAAAACTGATTTAAAAAGAAAAACATGTAAATACTCCCAGTAGAGGCGATACATTTGACAAGGGTCCTGAAACAGTAAGACTGGGACTTACACTGGGCAAGAACTGGGACCCATATTTCCTAGAAAAGGGGCCCTCCTGGGCTCCTCTCTCTTCTCATTCTACACACTGTCTATGAAATCTCATTCACTCCTCTACGATGATGACTCCCAACCATATCTCCTGCCCACTTCTTTCAACCTCCAGAACCACATATACAACTAGTAATCCAGCACTTTGGGAAGCCAAGGCAGGCAGATCACAAGGTCAAGAGATCGAGACCATCCTGGCCAACATGGTGAAACCCCATCTCTATTAAAAATACAAAAATTAGCTGGGTGTGATGGTACACGCCTGTAATCCCAGCTACTGGGGAGGCTGAGGCAGGAGAATCGCATGAACCCGAGAGACGGAGGTTGCAGTGAGCCGAGATCACGCCACTGTACTCCAGCCTGGCAACAGAGCAAGACTCCGTCTCAAAAATAAATAAATAAATAAATAAAGTCTGCATTTTGTCTGGGTTTACCAAATATGACTCATACTAACATGTCCCAAATTGAATTTGACATCCTGCCCATAAATCTGTTCCTCCATTGGTTTACCTTCCCAGATTCCTCTAACCAGACCAAAACCTCAGGGATCATTCTAGGTTTTTGTCCACCATATTTAAATGGTTGGTCACTAAGACCTCTATATTTAATCCCTGCAGCCACTGCAATTAAATCTTAACTGATGTTCCAACCTCCATCTTACAACTGCCTTGACCTCTACCCCAAATTTGATACTAAGAGGTCAAGGCTGTGTCTTAACCATCTGTGTATCTCTAGCCTTAAACAGGATTTATACACAGAGAATATTTAACAAAAAGATGCTCAATAAACGTTGAGTCAGTGAGTAGAGAAGCAAATTAGTTTCCCACTACTCCTCCACAGAGGCACTCTATTCTCCAGACTTGTTTTTTTCATACCTCTGTTTCCTCAGCCTAGAGTCAATGCCCTTCCCAATCTTGCTAATCTCCAGGTAGTGTCTTCTCCTCTGTGCTCCACTAACCAGGTAACGTATTTCTAATAAGACCTTATGACACTGTCTTATAATCATCTGCTGGCACCTTAAGACATTATTCATGATTGCCACCTCTATGGTATCCCTTTATCTTAATAATATTTGTTATTATAATCACCAATAATTTGATAAGTGTATTTATCATCTCTAAAAATTGATGACTTTCTATATAGTAGGGATTGTGTTTCATATAACTGTTACAGGCTGAAATGCATCTCCTCTAAATTTATATGTGGAAGGCTTAACTCCCAGTACCTTAAAATATGACTGTATTTGGAGACAAGGCCTTTAAAAAGATAATTAAAATGAGGACATATGGGTGGGTTCTAATCCAATCTGACTGATGTCCTTACAAGGAGAGAAAATTTGGACACACCAAGAAACACCAAGGGCACACAAGCATAGGGAAAAGGCCATGTGAGGACACAGAGAGAAGGAGGCCACCATCTGCAAGCCAAGAAAAGAGGCCTCAGGAGAAACCAACCTGCTGACACTTTTATTTTGAATTGATAACCTCTAGAACTGTGAGAAAATTAATTTCTGTTACATTTTGTTATGGTAGCACTAGTAAACTAATACAATTACATATAGAATAATGCCTGCCACATAGTAGTTATCCGGTAGGCATTATGGATCTATCATAATACTGATATATCTATATCTATATCTATATCTATATCTATATCTATATCTTGGTCTCAAAAGGCAAGAATTGTCAGAGTCATCTTTGTAGTCTAGGCACCCAGCTCAGTAATTAGCAGATAGTACTCATAAACACTAACAGAAAAATGAGTGAGTTTGGTTGAAACAACTCATGAAATACAACTGTGGCAGATAAATTTAGAAATGTATTAAGAGCAAAACACAGAGGGCTCCAAAAGTTTGGGTGAATCTGGGGGCTTTAATCCTATACAATTTGAACAACATAGAAGATTTTGAGACAACTAAAACATTAGGGCGAAAATTTCAGCAAAACTAGTCAAATGATGGTATATAGCATATGAATAGGCCTGGGGGATATAGGAGGGGTGAACTGCAAGACCGAGAATGGGGATGAGCCAAACATAATATATCATGTATCTATACTGTAGTAATTAGGGCCAAATATCTGATACTGGTCACATTTAGAACACAGGTCAATTTCTTCTTGTTCCCATCATTTAATTTCTGTTCCCATCATCCTCAAGGGAGACAATCTGGGTCAACACTTAGGCAACGTGTATATCTTTCAAAATGTTGGCTTTTGTCTTCTATGTATATGTTAGTTTTTTCCCCAAATGGCCAAGTGTTCTGTAAAAGAGAACACTGTAAGCTTCCAAATACTCATGGGAACTTGTAAACGTAATACAACATTCATGTAATTTCCACTTGCTACACAACACACCCTGAGGATGTTTTTCTGGAACATAACAAGTGGTTCTGTTGCTAAGAAAAAAAAAAGAGGTTGCTTGATGAAAGATATGAAAAAAATCTAAACACAGCCAAAATAATGCATTTGAACAATATCACTTTTTGTATCAGAACAAGTGAAGAAAGCAGAGCCATATTCTTTCATTGTGGAACTGCATTTTGTAGTAAAATATTATTATGCACCAGAAACCATTACTTCTTCCTTAAAATATTAATATCAATGTGGTTATAATTAATTACTGAGAAGGGAAAAATATGGATTGATCTTCTCAACTGGCTTTTTCTAAGCACTTAAATTCATTTTCACTACCAGCCCTTAGATTTGTTTCAAAATAGAATTACATTTAAAGTATGGTCCAGGGAATGTAATAAGCACAAAGTATAAAGGGTCATTCTAGAGCAAATATGCAGGTACCCACTAAGAAACCAACTTATAAAAAAATTAAAGCACAATTTAAATAATGATCATAAGAATACAAACACAAACAGCTAACCTTTATGGAACTCTTATCATGTCCCAGCTACTCTGCTAAAGGCTTAAGATATTTAGGATGAACCATATGAAAATGGCAATTTCATAAGGTTCAACCTAATACACTTGCTCATTTAATTCTTACAACCATCCCATTTAAGAATGTTGTTATCATCCCCATTTTACAGATGAGGAAACTAAAATTCAGAAGGCTTAATTTGATCAAAGTTAAAGAGCTAGGAAATAGGAGAAATGGGACTAAAGCCTAGGTCTGAATCCAAAGCCCATATTCTCATTACATATTACACAATAACAGCAGTCTCTGCGTCTTGAAAACCAGGCTGAAGGTATAGGCACACAAGCACTCTCACACACTGCTCAAAACCACTACATATACAGTTGTACGGGTTGTACCCTCACATAGGACCCCAGCAAGGGAAGGGAGTGAAATGGGGCCGACATCCAGCCCATGCTTTACTATCCATCCTGTTACAGGATGGCATCCAACTGAAGAAGGTTCTCTTACTTACCAAAAATTGCTATAGTGGCTAACAGTGACCCTGATGCTGTTGGTATAATTTTTTTTTTCTTTTCTTTTTTTTTTTTTTTTTTTGAGACAGAGTCTCGCTCTGTCTCCCAGGCTGGAGTGCAGTGGCGTGATCTCAGCTCACTGCAAGCTCCGCCTCCCGGGTTCATGCTATTCCCCTGCCTCAGCCTCCTGAGTAGCTGTGACTATAGGCGCCCACCACCACGCCTCGCTAATTTTTTGTATTTTTAGTAGAGACAGGGTTTCACTGTGTTAGCCAGGATGGTCTCGATCTCCTGACCTCGTGATCCACCCACCTCGGCCTCCCAAAGTGCTGGGATTACAGGCATGAACCACTGCACCCAGCCCGCTGCTGGTATAATTTTTAAGAATTTTGAGAGAAAATTTTAATAGTACAGATTAAAAGTCTTAAAAGATATATATTCTTTGATCCAGAAATTTCACTTTAAGGAACTTATTCTAAGGAAATAATTAAGAATCAACATAAAATTTGCATTACAAAGATATTTATCAGCGTTTATAAAAGAGGAAAAAACTAAAAAATCTAATATGTCCAACAATCGGGTATTAGCTGTTATATGAGATCTACATATGATTAAAATAATGTTGGAGAAATATATTAATTAATAAGCTTTTCACAAAATATTATAGGAATGACAAAATTTATAAAAATCCTAGTCATTTTAGTAAAACTAAGATGCATGTATATATTCTACATACAGTATATCCGTGGATGGGGACGGAAACAGAGAAAAAACACTAAGTGATGGAATTAATACGTTTTTAATATTCTTCTTTGTTCTACTTTCGCATATTTTTCTATAAGATATATATAAGCTGGGTGCACTAGCTCACATGGGTAATACCAGCACTTTGGGAGGCCAAGGTGGGCAGATCACTTGAACCCAGGAGTTTGAGACCAGCCTGGGCAACATGGCGAGACCTCTTCTCTACAAACAAAAACACAAAAATTAGCCAGGTGTGGTGGCGTGTGCCTGTATTACCCAGCTACCAGGAGGCTAGGGTGGGAGGATTGCTTGAGCCCAGGAGACAAAGGTTGCAGTGAGATGAGGTCACACCGCTGCACTCCAGCCTGAGCAACAGAACAAGATGCTGTCTCCAAAAAAAAAAGTATATACTTGTGTGTGTGTGTGTGTGTGTGTGTGTGTGTGTGTGTTATATAAAATAACTTAAAAAGAGGTAAAGCAAACAAACAGCAAAAACTATAAGAGGCAAATAACATAAAGCTGAAAAACTGTTACATAGGAAGTCCAGCCATCCAAAATTTTATTCTGCCTCCTAACTTGGAAATTACTGGGTTGATGCAAAACAACTGCAGTTTTTGCAATTATAGAATCTGTGATTTATTATGGTTGAAACTGAAGCAAAAAATATCTAATTTCATGTGAAATTGAGAAATCTAGGTCATTTTACCATATGGCCTGGGTTGAGAACCACTGCCTCAAAATACAGATACAAAACAAAGCACAGGCCAGGCGCGGTGGCTCACACCTATAATCCCAGCACTCTGGGAGGCCGAGAGGGGCAGATCACCTGGGGTCAGGACTTTAAGACCAGCCTGGCCAACATGATGAAACCCCATCTCTACTAAAAATGCAAAAATTAGCTGGGCGTAGTGGCACGTGCCTGTAGTCCCAGCTACTCGGGAGGGTGAGGCACGAGAAAGAATCACTTGAATCCAGGAGGCGGAGGTTACAGTGAACCACTATCGCGCCACTGCACTCCAGCCTGGGTGACACAGTGACTCTGTCTCAAACAAAAAACAAAACAAAGCACAAATTATACTCTAAATATCTTTAGATAACAAAAACTTAAATGAATGTTTTAAAAATAAGAAGCATTTTTTTTTAGTATTACCTATCAAATAAATAGAATTCTCAATAGAGTGAAAAAGCGAAAAGTGGCTCCTGACAGCCAGGAGTTGGCCTGGCACTGTCAGCTAGGCCTCGGCGTACTACAATTAAACATAAACAATTTCACAGAAAGTGGCTCCTGACAGCCAGGAGCTGGCCTGGCACTATCAGCTAGGCCTCAAGGTACTACAATTAAACATAAACAATTTCACAGAACACCAGTATCAGACAAGGCCACCCTGTGCTCATGATGGGTCAAGAGAAAAATTAAACCACTCTGTCTAATCATGTCTAAACACAGACAAAACATGAACATTGTCCTGACCACAAAAAAATAAATAAATAAATAAATAAATAAATAAATAAATAAATAAATAATCAGGCTGGGCACAGTGGCTCAGGCCTGTAATCCCAGCACTTTGGGAGACCGAGGCTGGCAGACCACTTGAGATTACAAGTTTGAGACCAGCCTAGCCAACATGGTGAAACCCCATCTCTACTAAAAATACAAAAATTAGCTGGACGTGGTGGCAGGTGCCTGAAATCCCAGCTACTCGGGAGGCTGAGCCAGGAGAATCACTTGAACCCAGGAGGCGGAGGTTGCAGTAAGCTGAGATCATGCCACTGTACTCCAACTGGGGCAACAGACGGAGATTCCATCTCAAAAAAATAAAAATAAACAATAATAGCCAATGACCAAACATAATCCTGACTAATATGAATGACTGCTGTTTCTTTTTTTTTTTTCTTGTCTTTCCTTTTTATTTTGAGAAAGGCTGCTGTTTCTTTTTTTTTCTTTCTTTCTTTTCTTTCCTTTCCTTTTTATTTTGAGAAAGGCTATCGCTATGTTGCCCAGGCTGGAGTACAGTGGCATGATCACAGCTCACTGCAGCCTCAACCTCCAGGGCTCAAGTGAGCCTCCCACCTCAGTCTCTCAAGTAGCTAGGACTACAAGTGCGCAACCACCACACACAGCTAATTTTTGTAATTTTTTTGTAGAGGCGAGGTTTTGCCATGTTACTCAGGCTGGCCTGCTAACTCCTGAGGTCAAGTGATCCATTCACCCCGGCCTCCCAAAGTGCTGGGATTACAGGTGCAAGCCACCACACCCAGCCAACTTCTGTTTCTTTATCAATCACAGCTTTATTAGCCTTGCTCCATTTTCTTGCCTTCTAGGTTCTTAAAATTATTCCTACTTTCTAACAGCATCTAATCCACTGCAAAGCCCCACTTCCTTATACTCTAACCAAAATCACTTAACGCAAGTCCAAATCCTATATGGTTCCCTATGACACATATTCTTCCTCAGTATAATAAATCACCTCATTTTGTTTTACTGCAGATATATTCCTGGCAGTCTTCCCTGGAGAGCGATAACAAAAGTTGGGACTATACACTTGAATACAGGATGGATTAGGAGTAAAATAACACAGTTACATAGAAATCCCAACAATCAAAAGAACAGATAACATTCTACATAAAGAACAGATAACATTCCACATAAAAGGATCTTTTGACACATAAACTGATCCTATTATGGATTTCCATGAATTCGAAATTCTGAATCTTTATCAGCCCTGCAATTGTTGACTAATATATTTTCAATTAAATTCTCAAATTACAATGTAAATATAAAAAGTAGAAGGTAAATGAAGAAACAAACCCCTGAAAATAATACCTACAACTATACAATTCTCTACTTTAAACACATTATTTTTATGTAGGCTATGAGCTTCTTATTGAGAAGTTTTGAAAAACAACAGGTCATGAAAATTATCTATCTAGAACACAGGCATGACTTAGTATTTAAACGGTAAACTGTCTTCTGATTGATTATCAAGGGGAACCTTGCCCTATGCATCCTTACCTCCTGGGTCCTTATCTGGATTATACTCTAAAGCATTGCTACAGATGAGGTCAATATCTTTCAGGAAATCCTTTGCAGTCAGGTAATTATGTTTATCAATTTTAGTTATTACTGTTGATAAGTCCATTGGTTCCTTGATTACTTCAAGATAATCTGAAACCTAAAACAGATATTTTAATAAAAATTACTTCCAGTTTTTCACATCATCTCAGTTCATAAAAACACAAAATAAAAACAAAGTTCTTTAAAAATTAAATCTAAATATCAAATAAATAATTTATAAAGATAAAATTGCAGCGCTATTTATGCTACCAAAGTTACTATCTGTCATACTTTCCATGAAAGCTTCAGTTTCCAAGTCATACCTAAATCAACTCTGAAATGTTTCTGTTCTTAAAATTTGAAACCATGTCAGCTTTTTTTTTTTTTTTTTAATCCTTCGGGCATATCCGGGAAGATAATGTATGGGCAAAAGTTCCCAATGAGCATCAATAAATATGACTTCAGGAAAAAAATTAAGGAAAATAAAAAGCAAAGACTTTTCATACTATGAGATAAGTTATTCTGATAAATCTCTTTAAATTTTCAACAAAAATTTTCTTTTTCAGTTTTCTAGAGTGAACTATTTCATGGAAAGTATTTTCCACTCCTTTGGAGTCATCACAAACATTTAGAGTCAATTATATAAGAAAATTAAGTATAGTTTTCCTAACCAGTACGAGATCTGCTGGATTTGTCCCTAAGTATAAAGAAATCTACAAACAAACAAACATGCTGCTTTCTGTGCTGATTTTCTGTGAGATAACCCTAAACAGGAGATATTACGTCATGATTTGCCCAATAAATTGAGTATCCCTGACCAACAAGAAAGTGTTAGCAACTTATGTATCTACTGCCTTCCCCAATGCAAATCTCAAATCAAGTAAATAGGTTTGCTATAACAGCAGTCTTAGCAGTAATGTCTAAAATTAGTCCAGGAAAGATTTCTGGGGAGATGGTTAAGTTCTGCTCTATGAAGTTTCAGATGGCATCGATACCATTATTTTTAAATTTACACATTCACACACACACGCACATATATGTAATTTATATGTTTTTTAATGTTTAGGATTACTTATAAAAAATATTAAGTAGAAGTGTATGTGTGCTTTATTTTTCACCTTTTAGGAACTGAAAAACCAGTCAATCTCCCTATAAGGGAGGTAGCAGAGTTATACTGAAACAAACTACCTCAGAAGATATTAGCTGGATTCCTGCTTCTGGTATTTGACATAAATGCCTGTGTATAAGTGGAAACTGTTTTATAAACTAAAAAGCACTATAAAATGTATATTATTAAAGACTATAAATGTTACCACTCTATGCTTAATTTTAAATTTAACATTTATTTTCTAAAGTTTTGCTTTCTCTGCAGTCTGCTTTGGAATTTGATAAAGTTTTCAGACATTTTAAATTCATTAGTTAAATAAAAACTTTTGTTTTAGGTTATCTTGTTTTCCCCTCTCTATCCTTCCCAGAGACTCCTATGTTCTCAGCTTAAGAGCAGAACGAACCTAAGAAGAAAGATAAAGGAGAAAAGAAGAGAAATACAACCCTAAATAAAATATTTATCTGACCAACATTTTCTATCCCCTTACCGTCATTTATAAAACTATTACAGATGGCATTTGAAAATCTGACAAATCTTCTTTGATTAGAAAGAAAAGAGTTTTCCTGAGCAAAAGCAAAATTGGTTTACTCTCAGCATGGGAAGTTGAGTTGGGGGCAAGCCCCTATCCTTTAAGAAGTGTTAGAGTCCAAATATACCAAATAGGGGAGTGGAAGAAAGGGCACACACACATATCACATTTATTTAAAATAATTTTTTAATCGGCTGATAGTTTTAAAATTATTTAAAAACACTATGGGGGGGGGGATGACCCAGCAATATAAACTGATATTTATTAATTTAAAAAGCCAATTAGGCATGTCCTGTTATCCCAGTGGAAAGATATAAAGTAGCTATGATAATGAATGTGGGCTTTGAATTTTAAAAAACTTTCAAGTCTTGGCTATGTCACTTGCCAACAAGTCTGTTTCCTCAACTGCAAAGTAAGAATAATAATAATGATCCTACAAGGTTGATAAGAGGATCAAATGGAAAAAACAGTGTATTGTGGATAAAGGTACAAATAAAATTATAGATAGTCTCTTCATTCCAAAAAGGGGGGAAAGTATTTCTTTTCAGACTTGCCAGGGGGGAGGAATGTAAATGCTAGCTCATTCTTCCTAGTAACAGATGAGGTAATGGTTTCAAAGGTATCTGCTCAGGTCCAAAAGCACAGATTTCACAATTAGGATACAACATTAAACCCTGAATCACCCATAATTCATTTTTTTAAAAAAAGAAATGAATAAAAACTAAAAACACCAAAGCTGTTCAAACATGGAGTCTGAACTATAAGAAAGAGGCCAGTAAAGATTACATTGTGTTCATCCACACACTACATTATCCCAGGATAAAACAAAAACCAAAAATGTAGTTGATAGTATTAGATTCCCAAATGGAAAATTTCTTTTCTCATCATCACAAACCATGCTCCCACAAGCACACAAAATAATACACATATAAAGTGAGAAATTTTCCACTGGGAGCAGAGAAAATCCTTAGAAAGAAAAATAATTTAGTTGCACGGGATATGTTTTAACTTCAAACAGCATCCCAGCCACAGGCATTTCCAAAATATGAAAGACAAAGAAATTTCAGGTTTTTAGCTACCTCTTTTGATGAGGTATACATAATTTGGGAAATGCCAGTATTAACTGGTATTGATTGGTTAATACCAATATACTCTTTGACAGCAGAATTTATCCTGGAATAAAAATAATCTAGTATGGATATTTGACTAAGGCAACCTTTAATCCTCTTAAATCGAAGAGTAAGAGACCACAAAGGTTAATAATAATTAAGAGGCCAATATAAATTGGTCGCTAATTTCATCCAAAAGTCACCAGATGTTTGCTGATGACATCGGTAGTTATCACATGGATTAAAATTTTATAGGCTAGGGGTAATATTCATCCATGCCTTTGCTTTTTTTTCCTTCCAAAAAAAGATGTCAATATTTTTTTCTTTTAGCCAGTTCAACTTCACTGTTTGCACACTACTGAAACAAGACCTCTTCAATATCCACCGGTTTGCTGAAGATGTTAAAGCGTTTATCTGTGGCCAGCCTCTTGGTTACATCCCTGAGAAACAACCGCAACTCTCTTAAAGTATTTTCCTCCTGGTCCTCCATTCGACTTTTTTCTGATTCTGATAATTGACGAGGTGGAGAAGGTAGTGCAAGAGGAAGCACTTCCATAGCACAAAGAGCTAGAGAAAACAGAAGAAAATGTTAAGATTCCAACGTCGTGGGCCAGGACCCTTTTTTGGCATTCTCTCAAAATGTTCTTTAAAGAAAAGAATTACAAATACAGTCATGTGTTGCTTAACAACAGGGATACATTCTAAGAAATGTGCAGTTAGGCAATTTTGTCATTGTGTGAACATCATAAGAGTATACCTGCACAAACCTAGATGGTATAGCCTATGACATACCTAGGCTATATGGTAAAGCTTATTGCTCCTAGGCTACAAACCTGGACAGCATGTGACTATACTGAATACTGTAGGCAACTGTAGCACAGTCGTATTTCTGTATCTGAACATAGAAAAGGTATAGTAAAAATACAGTATTATACTTTTATGAGGCCACCATCGTATATGCAGTCCATCGTTGACCAAAACGTCATTATGCAGCGCATGACTATATGTGTGAAACATGCAAATCCAGCAAGTAAAAATTTGCACAGAAACAAAAAGGGAATAGCTTCACTTTATAAAATAACTCACAACAGGACCCCTTTAAAAAACAAAATAATTTGATTTTGAAATATTATTTATATATAACTTACGAGAAATAGTTCAACACAAATATCTCCCAGTAAAGTATTACACACTGATTTTCTTAAGTCAACCTTGTTTAAAAACTGCTTCTTAAAATGGTATTACCTTAAATGCATAAAAAGTATAATGGGCAAGTAATATTTGAACCTTCCTATCCCCAAAAGAATTCTGATTTTAGGCAGGTCTCCTGCCCTCGTATTCTGAGTACAACAGAGTACGGATAGTGAATGGCACCTGCAGGAAGGGAGGGAAAAAAAAAAAAAGGAACTAAAAAAAGAATTCCACAGTCATGAAGGAGATGGAAAACCAGTCCTAAGTGTCATATGTAAAATCCATGGTACTCACTATCTATCCTAAGAAAAACAAAAAATCTTCTTAAAAGGTAAAGTATTAACTTTCCTAATTACAACGTTCTCTAATTTTAAAAGATTTCCCCTGATATCACACTACAGCTCAGAATTAAAATTCTAAGAATTTTTCACTGATTTTTAAATAGCTCCTAAGATGAAAAGTGAAAGTCAACAGAAGCAACTGAAAAAGAATTATATCAATCGTAAACATAGAAAATTCAGATCTATGAGATTAAAATATATCTAGAAGCATGAAAGATTGAAATAAATCATTTTCATAATGAAATATTTAGATTAACAGGAAGCAACAAAATAAACATAAATAAGGTATAATTTACATATTCAATTTCCCAAGGTTTTGGGAGGGAAAAAACCATAACTACAGCAATTTGACAGGGGTTCATTTTTAAAACACCAATAAAATTTGGAAAGGAGCCACTAAAGAACAATAAAATTATTAAAATGTTACATAATATAACCAATGAAAAACAAACAAAGTAAAAAGAATATGGAAAAATAAGGACTTGGCAGGGATGGGAAATGTATTGAGTATCCTACAAGAAGGGCTCTAAGAAACATAAAAGATGGAACAAGGGTAAAGAGGCTTAAAAATTTTTACCAAACAGGATTGCTACTTCCTAGAAGAGGCTGAAAGATTAAGCAGGTAGATCTTATCCTTTACACATCTTTAAGATTAGGAAAAGAAAATCTCTTTTGAATGACTTAGAATGCAGCCCTTACTATGTCAAGGAACTGAAATCTGAGAAATTCTTGAGGTACCTCTTAAGCTCAATTCTTGAGTCCAAAATTATTGAGTCCAAACCCAAGAAAAATCTAACACTTAAAACAAAGGCAGGATAGATTTTCAAATGGCTAGAATACAACGTTAAATGTAAGGGGTCCTAAATAAGTATTTGAAAAGTCAATCAATAAATAAACTAGAAATGGCAAATGTTCTAAGCAGCTATTAGCCCATCAAATCTATCATGGCCCAAAAAGTAATGAGCACAACACCTGGTGTTCACAACCTGCCAGTTCAACTCCTGGGTACTTACTGTGACTAAAACAGAGGAGAACTGAAGACTTTTTTCTATGACTTTTTGAGCCCCATAATGTGACATCTACCACAGGATGTGGTTGAAGTCATAAGAAGAAGTCCTGTTTAGCAAAGCTTTAACAAGGCTATACTTCCCAATCTCAAGTCAGGTGAACACAATGGACACTTCCACACGTCATCTAAAGATAAACAGAACCTGACAAACTGTCCTCACTTCCAAGAAGAAAGGGCTAAAATAAACTGACTCCAAGAAAGGGTATTTCTTAACTCCATCCCTCCCATTTTCCTAAAGGCTTTACAAACTTTACCAGCATGTTTCCTTCGTGGTGGAGCCATTGATGCCTGATTGAGAATCAATTCTTGAAAAAATTTTCTTCTGTCTTCTTCAATAGGCCTTTGAATATACAAGACCTCTTCATACTGTATTCTAAAGATACATTTAACCTACACATATACACACACACAAAGACATTAAATATATAAAGAATTAAAAGCTTACATATCATACCAAATTGCAATGTCTTCATCTTCCAGTATCATGTTCAATATTCATAGACCATTCACATGGGGTTATAGTTAACCTAGTCCTAGGCTATGCTGTTGAAGGGTTCAACCGCATGGGCTAAACAGGAATGGAAGAATGTCCAGTTACCCAAGTCATTAATGAATGATACTACATATCTAGTAAGAGTCATCAGATAATAGCAAAAAGGATAGCTGGTTGTAACAGATGGCAACAATCTCAAAGGCTTTTACATTAAGAGGGGAAAAGTAATTACTTCGAATCTATAATAGTACAGCTGGAAGAATGTTAACATTGCCATCTCTTATCCTCGTATTTCTTTGTACTCCCTATCCATTGACTTCCCTTACTGTGCTCTTTCCCTACCAAGTCTATTTCACTGTAATCTCTGGAATCCTGGTTCCACTGCAAAGAAACTATACCTCTAGTCTAGTTTATGCTCCATGACACACTCCAAAAAAATTAAGCCAATTATTCTCATATCCTTCAGCTCCATCCACTTGGTGATTACTCACCTCTTCTGTTTACCTACTCAGACTTTGACCCCAGGTGTCCACCTTCCAAGATATGCTGTTTAAATGCTCTTTACCTCATCCAAATTTGTCTACTATGGCATTAAACACTGTATTTAATTTTTATGGTTTTTCTAGAATGTCTACCTTCTACCTTCTAGACACCAAACTCCCTGAGAACAGAGACCACTTCTTATTCACCTATTTTTCTATACCTATCCCAGTGCCTGGTATTTAGCAATGCCTAATAAGTATGTACTGAAAGAGTTAACCTTGTGATTTTTGTTACCCAGCCCAAATCAAACAGGAAACTGCAAATAAAAAAAGGGAGAAAGTCACCAGTATGGAAAGATAGACCAACCATGACACTGTGAAAATATGGATTAGAATCAAAGACATCATATTCCTGCCCAAATTTAGCCACACATTTGTGGTAAAATTTGAATAATTCATTCAGTTTGTCATTTCTAACCACTTACTGGATTAAACCTATGAAATGAACCCTTAAAAATTCCATAAATATGATATCATTCTACCTTCATAACAATGAGGTAAGTATTATTTCCTCATTTTACAGATGGGGAAACTGGGGCTTAGAAAGATTTAAGTAATTGGCTTAAGGTAATAAAGTGAATAAAGAAGACTAAATTATATAAACTGTCAATGCCTTTTCCAGCTCTGAAATTCTAAGAGAAGAAGAAACAATGAAAGGTAAACATCAGAATTCAAAAACTGGATGGGGAATTATTTATCTCAACCTAAAGTCAAATCATTTAAAAGTTCATAAAATTTCACCTTGTGTCGTTCCAGTGCTTTTGTAGACTACCTTCATGCACAGTTCCCTCCAACCCTTTAATCAATGCTTTGATGGCCTTTCTTTGAAAGTTCTGGAAGTAAATTTACTACTGAACATGCTTTGTATGTCAAACATCATGCCAGACACTGCAGTTATAAAACTGAAGAAAATGTCTTTGTTCTCTGCTGTCAAAGATTTTAGAGTATCAGAAGAAAAGCATTATGATACTATGCTGGGAGTACTGTAACAGAGGTAGCAAAACAGAGCAGAGACCTTGCAAGGGGTGAAAAGACACTAGGTAAGATGTACCAGAAATCACTTATATCAATTGGGTCTTGAAAAATAAGTAGAACTTAATATCCTAGACGTACCACGATTTCGTTCAAGAATGGCAAAACATTTCATTTTAACTATTTTCTCTGATAATTTTCAATACTATGTTAACACTTTATGAATACAAAAGCATACCAAGAACAGGCCTACAATAATCCATGGATATTCTTACCAGGTTACTACCAACACCTTAGAATCCAACATTTTATAAGTGGGATAAATTATACTTCTCTAAGTTCACTCCTAACTTTATCTTCTGACAGTCCTAGCCTCAAACTTCATGGTGTACCAAAGACAAGCCTTCCATAATTCCCAGAACAAATCACGCTCTGTTTCACATTGGTTCACACTGGTTGTGATACATAGTATTCACTCATTCCTGACCCCTTCTTTAATGCACCACTCAAGCTGATGCTTTCTGTGTGATGCCTTCCCTAACTTTCCCAGATGCACTTAGGCACACCTTCCAATATTTCTGAAAAAACAGTTCAATAATGTTCAGTAAATTTTTACAGATGTGTAGCCATCACAAGCACATTTTAGAACATTTCCATTACCCCAAAAAGTTTCCTCAGGCCTATCTGCAGTCAATCCCCACTCCCACTCCCATGTCCCAGCCTAACAACCACTGATAATGCTTTCTGTCTCTAGAGAATTGCCTCTTCTAGACATTTTGTATCATACAACTGACAGTCTTTTATGCCTGGCTTCTGTCACTTAAAACTTCAGGTTTTTCCAAGTTGTAGTATGTATTAGTATTTCATTCCATTTATTGCTGAATAGTATTTCATCACATTTTGTTTAGCCATTCACCAATTAAGGAACATTTGGATTGTTTCCACTTTTTGCTAGTATGAGTACAACAACTAGAAACATTCCCATACAAATGTCTTTCTGTGAAAGTATGTTTTCATTTCTTTTGTGTAGATAACTAGGAGTGGAATTGCTGAGTCATACCATAAATTTATGTTTAACTTTGGAAAGTGGCTGCACCATTTTACAATCCCACCAGCAGTATATAAGGACTCCAGTTTCTATATCCTTGCCAATACTTGGTATTCTTTATTTTTGATTACAGCTATTAGGTTGGTGCAAAAGCACTTTTTTTTTTTTTTTGCAGCTTTCAATGGCAAAAAACGCAATTACTCTTGCCCAACCTATATTTTAGTGGGTTGCAGTGGTATTTCATTCCTGAATGACTGATAATGAGCATCTTTTCATACACTTATCATCCATTTACATATACTCTAAGGAACCTCATATAAAAGGAATTATACAAAATTTGTCCTATGACTAAGTTAGCATAATGTCTTCAAGCTTCATCCATGTTACAACATGCATCAAAATTTTCTCCTTTTTAAGGCTAAATAATGTTCCATTGTATATGCTACATTTTGTTTATCCTTTCAACTATCAATGGACACTGAGGATGTTTCCACCTTTTGGTTACTATGAATGATGCTGTTGTGAACATGGGTGTGCAAATACCTGTTCAAGTCCCTGCTTTCAATTCTTTTGAGTAAGTACCTAGAACTTGATTGGCTGGATCATATGGCATTTATATATTTAAGATAATGTCATACTGTTTTCCACAGTGGCTATACAATTTTACATTCCCACCAGCAATGCAAAAAGGTTCTCCTTTTTCCACATCCTCATCAACATTTGTTAATTTCTGTTTTTTTTTAATAACAGCCATCTTTTTTTTTTTTTGAGACGGAGTCTTGCTCTGTCGCCCAGGCTGGAGTGCAGTGGTGCAATCTCGGCTCACTGCAAGCTCCGCCTCCTGGGTTCACGCCATTCTCCTGCCTCAGTCTCCCAAGCAGCGTGCCACCACGCCCAGCCTAATTTTTGTATTTTTAGTAGAGACGGGGTTTCACTACGTTGGCCAGGATGGTCTCGATCTCCTGACCTCGTGATCCACCAGCCTCAGCCTCCCAAAGTGCTGGGATTACAGGCATGAGCTATGGCACCTGGCCAACCTTTTTGTTTTATCGAATTTATTAACACATTCCTTAGAATTGTTAGTCCCCAGTTTTGAAGGTAGGGTTCCTGCAACCTTTGTAATAAGAAAAATTAATGGTTAAGAACTTAAGATCTAAAAAAAAAAAAAAGAACTTAAGATCTCAATAACAAAAGGTGTGAAAAAGAGGTCAGAAATAAACCTAAGAAAGCTTTCATAAATAAAATTTGCTTTGCTCAAAACAAAATAGGATATCAACCCATTAAATAAAAATAGAAATAGTTTACATATCTCAAAATAGTAACTATGTTTACCTACTATCCTATTTCACTTAGGGAAAAAAAACTTGTGGCCGGGCACGGTGGCTCACACCTGTAATCCCAACACTTTGGGAGGCTGAGGTGGGTGGATCACGAAGTCAGGAGATCAAGACCATACTGGCTAACACAGTGAAATCCCTTCTCTACTAAAAATACAAAAAATTAGCTGGGCGTGGTGGCGGGCGCCTTTAGTCCCAGCTACTCCAGGAGGCTTAGGCAGAAGAATGGCGTGAACCCGGGAGGCAGAGCTTGCAGTGAGCCGAGATTGTGCCACTGCACTCCAGCCTGGGCAACAGCGAGAGACTCTGTCTCAAAAAAAAAAAAAAAAAAAAAAAAAAAACTTGAGAAGATTTCCTTCCTCTTAAATTTTAAGAATCACGTAATTGTTTTATTACCAAAATATTAATATTAAAACAGTTCCCTTGTATCTTATGATCATTAATCTGAGTTTTCAATGCCCCTACTTGATTTTTCTAATTGAAGTTACTGATTTTCCCCTCCCAGGTCCTACCATAAACCTAGAGAGACAATGACAAGAAACATTTAAGATAACAAAATGCTATATGTAATCTTACTTTCATCAGCATAGCTGAGGAATATTTCTTTAAAATTCATTTCCAATATACTGAATTATATAATCTTAAACCTGCTCATAATAATTTAATAACAAAGCAGATACTGTGAATGTCTTCAGAAACAGAAATACAATTCTGGCCAAGGTTTACATTCCTTCCTACAAATATCTCTAATTTATTTGCTTCCTCCCTTAAGAGTCTTTTTTCTGTGCTCAACCTTAAATTAACTCTCTTCTCTAATTCTCCATAAATACCTTGCAATTCCCATATATCTCAAATAAAATTCTCCAAGTATCTTCAGAAAGGGTTTATAAAAGTAAATTTACTTACACTACAATTCTGCATGGTTCTCAAGTGGTCAAAAATTTAAAGAAAAAATATTTTAAAAGAAAGAATTATGCAGAAAGCGAGTGAGGCTGGGCAAGGGTTACTTAAATCCTACGTGATGATTCAACTGTTAGTTCCTTTTTTCATGCAGCAAACTTTTACAGAGTAATTCCAATGTGTTAGCACTGTGCTAGGAATGGGAGAAATGATGGCCAGTAACACCTGAAAGTGCTAGTGGTCTAGAGACCAGAGGTGCACAAACTTTTTGGTCTCAGGACCCCAAAAAAGCTTTTATGTATGTGAGCTATATGCATCAATATTTACAGATTTTAAATAAGCCCATTAGATATTAACACTAACATTAAAAGAATAAAACATATATTCTTTTGAAAAATATATTTTTCCAAAATATAGAAAGAACATAAAACACATAAAACAAAATTTAGCGAGAAAAGTGGCACTGTTTTATCTTTTTTTTGAGACAGCGTCTCACTCTGTCACCCAGGCTGGAGTGCAGTGACACGATCTTGGCTCACTGCATCCACCTCCCAGGCTTAAGCGATCCTCCCACCTCAGCCTCCTGAATAGCTGGGACTACAGGCACGCGCCATCATACCCAGCTAATTTTTGTATTGTTTGTAGAGATGGTGTTATGCCATGTTGCCTAGGCTGGTCTCATACTCCTAGGCTCAAGTGATCCGCTTGCCTCAGCCTTTCAAAGTGCTGGGATTACAGGCATGGGCCACCACATCCAGCCAGCACTGTTTTAAATGTTTTCAATTCTCTTTTGTGTCTGGCTTAATGGAAGACCACTGGATTCTCATTTCTGCTTCTGTATTCAATCTGTTACAATATGTTGTTTGACTGAAGTATATAATGAAAACCCAGACTCAGCAGATATGTAGTTGGAAATGAAACTTGATAATCCCCTGAAAAAGTCTTGGGGGCTCCTCAGGGGTCCTTGGACCACACTTTGATAACAGCTGGTCTGGTGCAATGATTTCCAAACTTTTTTGATCAAACACCTCATCAGTAAAAAATCTGAAAATATTCTCATTACTATATGCATATTTATTTAAATATACTATTTTGCTAATATACTACTTGGAAATAATATATTATAAACCATATACACATGAAATATACTGTACTATTAAATATACTGTTTTGCTATACTACTATTAAATATACTATTACCAAAATAGTATATTTAATAGTACAGTATATTTCATGTATATATGGTTTATAGTTTTATTATAAACCATATATGCATGAAATATTTAATATGAAAAATAAAAATGAACAGAAATGCTAATGTTTTCCCCAGTATCCCAATGCACAAGTACAAACTTATCGTGGGGACTATTGAACTACAAGAGAGGGATATATACAAAGAGACACAAGAGAATGTCAAAGAAGTTCTAAAAGATGAACTTGTCATTTTGTCCCACTAATAAGACACTAATCATGGAAGGACTAATTATTTTGGGGTTTTCTTCTATTTTAAAAATAGAGCAGGAAAACTTCCTTTCTCCTTCCTCTGTGAATAATGAGGTTTATTTTCTGATTATAATGATAGTTATTTATTATGGAAGATATAGAAAATAAAGACAATAAAAAACTAAAATGACTATAACTTTTATATCCACAGATAATTACTATTAACATTTCTGTGTATATCCTTCCAGTTATATCTTTATAAACACCATACACATTGATTTATTACCTGCATTTTTTAAAACAATACATTTAAACATATTTTCATGACATTAAATTTTCTCTTTTATTTTTGAGACACGGCCTCACTCTGTTGCCCAGGCTGGAGTACAGTAGTACAACTGTAGTAATAGGCCATTTTTTCCTCTGAGAATTGGTTTTGTACTGCCCACTCTCTACTTCATTTCTTCCATAGATCTGGCAACTTGCTAACCTACAGCTACTTGGTCTACAACTCTCTGTGCTACTCATTCATTCACCAAATATTTATCAATATGTGCTAAATATTAGAGATTACTATCTTAGTTTGTGACCTAAAGAAAGCAAGCAGGCTAGGCGCAGTGGCTCACCCCTGTAATCCTAGCACTTTGGGAGGCCGAGGTGGGAGATCACCTGAGGTCAGGAGTTCAAGACCAGCCTGGCCAACATGGTGAAACCCCATCTCTACTAAAATACAAAAATTAGCTGGGCATGATGGCAGGTGTCTGTAATCCCAGCTACTCGGGAGGCTGAGACGGGAGAATCACTTGAACCTGGGAGATGGTGGTTGCAGTGAGCCAAGATCACGCCACTACACTCCAGCCTGGGTGGCTGAGTGAGACTCCATCTCAAAAAAAAAAAAGAAAAAAGAAAAAAGAAAGCAAGCATTCTAATGGTAGACCTGAAATTAAATTGTAAGGCTTAGCTGGACATGGTGGCTCACACCTATAATCCCAGCATTTTGGGAGGCTGAGGCAGGAGGATCACTTGAGACCAGGAGTCAAGACCAGCCTGGGAAACATAATGAGACTTCGTCTCTACAAAAGTAAGTAAACAAATAAAATAAAATGTTAAGACTTGGGAACAGAGGAGAATTTCCTACAAACTATTAGTATAAAACATGTTATATAATCAAAAGAGAATTCCCATAATCTTCAGCCCACAAATACGATATCCACGATAGCTTTAAAAACTACTTATAAAGACAAAAGCGAGAGGGAAAGGAGCTGAAATTTCAGAATTCAATGCTGGCAAATTTCTAATATTTTAGATAGTAATTATGGGTATTGGTAAATAAATACTGAAAAAGGTTACTAGTCAGTGGGCTTTCTGAATCCATTATAAGTTATGACAACAGTATAACATTGGAAATGTACATGATATAATGTTAGCTTTAAAATACTAAACCAACAGTAAAATTACATATGCATATGGGCAACAGAAGTAGGTAAAATAAAAACTGCTTATCAAGAAGTTAGGCTCATCAAACTTTTATTTAGAAATTTTTCAAACAATATAGAGGGAAATTTTCAGGGAATATTCCCTATATATTCCCAACTAGAACCCTCATGTATCCCACATTTTAACTCTTCTCTTTCTTTTTATAAAATTAGAATAAAACTGATAAAGAGGATCTAACTTGTAAAGTGGCTCCCAGGTTATATCCAGGTTCAGTCCATTCCTCTAAATTTCAACTTCAGCTGCATTCCTACTTTATAATACTAATACCAAACATTTAATAGCTCCATGGTTTCAAAAGAAATTCACGTATACTGTCTCACACCAATGACCCTGTCTGTTATTATCCACATGTTATAGATGAAAATGAAGCAATTATACGTTCAAGTATTTATCTAAGATCAAAAGACTAGTAAGTCAATACCCTGGTTTTTCTAACTCTTGCTACATAAAGCATTCTATTAAACTTTATTAGCCTCTATGATAAACATTTTGATTAGTGATCTTCCTATACTATCAGATATTGAATAATCAAAAATGAATTACTCTACATTTAATATATTTTCCTTACAAAAAGCAGTAAAGTATACAAATCTATTTTAGCAAGATAACTAATGAAAGCTGAAACACAAAAGAACTCAGTAAACAAACACTTTAACCATAAAATTCTACATAATCAAGATTTATATTATAGCACTTAAAACATGTAAATCTTTTATATAAACATCATTCCTACTTTGTCTCCTGGGGAAAATATTTCTAAGCATTTCTAAAGGAGACTATTTCAAGACCTAGTAAGCTCAGGGTATTAAAACAATTTTTAAAAAATCAATTTCACTCAAGTAAGATGATCTACTATTTTTTTCTGAATCAACTATGATTTTACCTTAGATCTGAACTCAAAGTTAGACTTCAGATTTGAAAAATACGTGTATTAGTAATAACATTCAAGTTAACATGGTGCTATCAATGAAAGGGCTGAAAGGTCAAATCTCATCAAATGACCCCACAGATGATAAGGATGAAAAGGATATAACTGATAGTGATATAGCCACAATTTTCTTAGAAAGCTGAGTATCCCTTTTCCAAAATGCCTGAGACCAGATGTGTTTCAGATTTCAAACCTTTTCAGATTTTAAAATATGTGCATATATATATAACGAGATTATCTTGGGGATGGGATCCAAGTCTAAACAAAATTCATTTAAGTTTTATAAAAACCTTATACACATAACCTGAAGGTAATTTTATACAATGTTTTTAATAATTTTGTGCAAGAAACAAAGTTTTGACTGCAACCCATCACGTGAGGTGTCAAATTTTCCACTAGTGGCTTCATGTCAGCACTCAAAGAAGTTTCAGGTTTTGAATTTTTGAATTAGAGATGCTGAATCTGTATATATATAATTCAGGTTTTGTTCTAAGCATAAATTATCTCAATCTTTATAACAACACTGTGGAATACCACTATACCAAAAAAGAAACTAAAACTTAAATAACTTACCTACATCATACAGCTAATAGGCAGTTACACCCAGGATATAAACCCTGGCAGTATTAATTTTATAATAATTAAAAGGTGTCCAATTTACAGAGTCAACTATTTTAGAACAATATAATAAGGAAAGATAAATATTTAATCAGTTCTTACCTCTTCAGGCAGTTCACTGTACATGGTTTCAGAGGTAGACAATAAAAATATAGGTGAAAATGATGGTATATCTTGTAGCAATGTCAGAAAAGTTGCTCTCACAGTTTCACTGACAGCTTCCCACCAATCCCCAATGTGAGGCATGTAAACAATACTAGGTACTGTTCTTCGAGCTTCACGAAAAATCTAATTAAGGAAAAAAACCAACATTAAACAACTCAAATTGATTATTCTAAAGTCTACCCAGTAATCTCCAAATACATGAAATATGTCAGGCCTATTATGGTCATTAGTTTCAGCCTCAAAATTTAAGTTCAAGATATGATGCACAAGCCTTACACAGCTTCAATCTACCCTTGCCCCACCAAAAAAAAAAAAAGTATGTTTTGCCCTATCAAAAAAAAAAGTATGTTTTGCCCTTTAATTATTCCTATTCAGTATATATTAACAGTGGAAGGTATCAAATTGCTCCACTTATCTAGCATGTAAAGATAATAAAGCAAAACACCACTGTAAAATATGCTGCAAATAAAGAGATAAACATACACCTATGGCACTCATGTGATATCAGTAAACTTTACAAAAAGAACAACAACATAGTTTACATTTTTGAGCACCTTGACTAAAATCATACAATATATAATCATTTTAACCAAGATGTACCACCCTAGAGCTTAAAATTAATGAACTACTTGCTGAAACAGTCATTCACCTCCTCCCATTATCTTAGTTCAATATTTTATAAAATAGTCACAAAATACTCTAACTTATCTAAAGAGCAAATGATAGCAAAGAGCTCTGCGACACTTCCATTGTCAGAAAATACAGAATGAATTTTTCCTCAGGTGTTAAAAAGTCTTAACCATAGTTTCAATCACGCTCTGCCAACACACACCAATAGGGACCAGGTTGGCTATTAGTAAGCTGCCAAGCTGAATTAATGTCCCTTACTTATTAAGTCAACAGTTTAATATCCCACCAACAAATTCTGACATGTTAATAGGACATTTCTCATTATCTTTAACAAGTTTAATTATAAAAATCTTTCTTCCATTTTGAGAATTCTATTCCTAAAATGCTCGACTTATTTTCCCTTATTTTTAACACATTTCAATTAGCCTATGTAATATACAAGATATAGAAATAAGAATTTAGCTGGGCACGGTGGCTCACGCCTGTAATCCCAGCACTTTGGGAGGCTGAGACAGGCAGATCACTTGAGGTCAGGAGTTCAAGACCAGCCTGTCCAACATGGTGAAATTCCACCTCTACTAAAAATCCAAAAATTAGCCAGGTGTGGTGGCACACGCCTGTAGTCCCAGCTACTCAGGAGACTGAGGCAGGAGAATCACTTGAACCCGGGAGGTGGAGGTTGCAGTGAGCCGAGATCACACCACTATACTCCAGCCTGGGAGACAGTGAGACTCCATCTCAAAAAAAAAAAAAAAAAAAGAAAAGAAAAATTTAATATTTAAAATGATTGGGATTATCGGAAACTATCCTAAGAATCAAGTATTATTTTTCTTTAATGAGTAAGCTTACCACTTGCATACATTTTTTAAATAGTGTATTTTATACAGCTTTCAACCTTCTGTGTAAAATAAAAGGTACTGCCAATTCAATAATAAACCAGATGAAAGAAGCTCAAATAATAATTGGAAAAAATGTAGATGTTATGATCACTCACATCAAAAGTAATATTTGCTCCTTCCCTTCCTTAATATTTGCATATCCACCAATCCAGAACAGTTGTACAGTACAACTCCTTCAGGACTCTCAAATTTTGACCTTTTCTGCAAACACGTACCCTCCTATCCTGGATCTTGGAAATCCAAGGATTATTTTTTTCCAAAGTTCTTGTAGAAAATTCATAAGAGAAAAACAAGCATAAATATTGGCAAAAGGAAAGAACCATGCAGAAGCACAAAGGCAACTGAGGCACTTATTTAAAAAAAAAAAAAATTACATGCCACCCAAATCAGGCATGGTTACGTGGAAGACAGTGACCAACTCCTTTTGTCACTTTCCAGTTCCCCACTCTGTGCTGGTAAAACAAGAAAGAGTCAGCAAGGAAACAAAGGTGATCATATGAAAGACTAACCAGCTATAGGTTACTAAGAAACCTCACAAAGCCAATCACTTAATTCAGCCATGCAAGCTACCACATACATGCCCAGGGTATGAGAGAGATAGGAAAACATGCCTTTAAAAAAATGAAATTTTGCCTTTCATTCTAGTACTTCTAGGTTAGATTTTCCAGGAACATGTGTTGAGAACATCTAGCCATTAACAAGTATCAAAGAGGATGAGCAAAGCAACAGAAGGTTAAGTGATAACAATTTGACAGAGTCAGAAGTTAACTACAGGTGTCTTAACTGTATTTGCAAGGGTGAACTACATACAATCATCACCAGCTCTAAGAGTTGAGGTTTGTTTTTTTCTGTTTCTTTTTTTCCTCCAATTGTCTCAAAATTAACATGATATTGAACTCAAATTGAACATGATGTTGTATTGACCCCATTAAAAAATTTAGAAATTTGTCCACATTTCCAAAAAATTTCTTATTTTCATCTCATCTTCTCAAAATTAACAAATTGAACATGATATCCTAGTGATCCAATTAAAAAAAAAATCTCGAAGCTTTTTACTTCCAAAGCCTTTAGGAAAATGTCCTTCTTGATTAAAAAAAAAATTTATATTTGAAAACCTATTGGGGAAAAAAATCAGGCAAGTCTAAGATGAACATGGAAAAATAAAAAGGCTTCGCCTTTCTGATCTATGAGTGTATAATTACATGAATTGAGAATTAACCTAACTACATGAAATACCAACATCTATGAAATATTTTTGTAATTTTTCTCCTAAGTCTTTAGAGGAAAACCATCCTTAATTTCTACAAAAACTAAAAAGCACTATTAAAACAAGCTTTCTTTTAAATTCCTTATTCTATGTTATCTCAGAATATTAAAATAAACTTTTATATTTTCTTTAGATTTATAACCAGTCTGTTCTAATTCCCATTTTGTAATAAAAATTCAAAAAGAACAGAGTTTGAGAATAGCATTTAAAAATTCTTATAGTATAAGCAACAGGAAAAAAAAAAGTTTAATACTATTATGATTTTTTTCTGTAATATAAAAACAGCTCTTCAGCAGTTTGCTGGTAACTTTTAAAGTGTGGAGTAAAATACACTCTGTGAAATCAAATACCAGATAATTCAGAGTAGAAAAATATAGCCTAGTTTCAATGAAGCGGCAACTGGCTTGGGAACAAGTGATGCCATTTGAGAACTAGAAAAATACTCACCTATAGGGTGTCTTGGATTGGTGGATGTGCAAGGTGTAGTAGAAAACAGAAAAACTGTTATAGAAAAAAAAAAAGACAGTAGGCCAAATTACTGAACCAACCGTTTCAAAATACCTCTGACATGACCAGCACTCTTGCACAAGTAAAATGAACAAATACCAGCATATGTGAACTGTTCATTTTGATTCTTTATTACAACATTATACTCCATTTCCTTCTGACCTCCTTCTTGCCACAGACATCATAAGGACCTTAGATAACTAATTTTTTTAAAACTTTCTTTATTAAAAAAAAATCACAAACTACTTCCTCTAAATATTAAAGATATTAAAGGCAAAAATCAGGCCATTGAAGTTAGAAGTATCCATCCAAGGAAGCACTCATGATATAACTCTTGCACTTACAAGAGTTCTAATCATCTCAAAAGCTAAACTTTGAAGTCAGCATTTTAGCCATGAAATTAAAATGTTCCATCCATGAAAATCTAGTGTATTTTTAAACTAAGAATTTATAGTCCCACAACAAGCCATTTCCTTTAGAAATTGAAAACTAGAAAAATTTTAAACCCAAATGTGAATGAAGCAGAAAGCTCAAAGCCAGTATCACTTTTACCTGCCTAAAGAGGGCAATATAGAAAAGAGGGAAACAAATTTGTGTCATCAAGAAACTTCCAGAACTTGTCTCAATCACTTAATAGTATTATAAATATATTAAAATTATAAAGCACAGGTAAAAGAAAAATGTTGGGAGCTAAAACATCCTCAATATTTATAAAAATTAAAAGGCACTAATAAATAAGTTTAATTCTTTGTGCCATGCTATCAGAAATTATTAAAATAAATAACATCTGTGCATTGCTGGTGGCTTTATTCCATTTTTATCCCTTTACTCTATTTATATTCCCTTCATATAAGATTTATTGAGAATCTCTTGTGAAAAGAAGGCACTGTCTGGATTCTAAAGATTCAGGATTCAATAAATAAGGTACAAATTTCTTTACATGCACATAAAATCAGCCTGTTATAAAACACACCTGTACTAGTTTCTGAACTATGGTAGTAACACAAATTAGCATTTTATGAAAATTAAATCACTTAAATTCTTTTTCTAATATTTTCATTCCCTAAGGACTTCAAGAATTTCAGTAAATGTGACACACTCCAGGTCAGGATAATTTAACTTGTCTACAACTCAAAAAAAAAAAAAATTTAAGAAGTGTTGCTATGGAAAAAGTCAGATATCCATGTGAGCAAACACAAAAGCATCCAAAATATACACAGACTGCTACAGAGAAATCCAGAAATCTATAAGCACAAACACAAGAGCAACCGAAGTATACACACAGGTAAGTACATTATTAATACTTTCATGCTATTCAACCAAAAAGAATTTCCCCTGTGAAATTCCAGATAACAATTTCTTTCTGGGGAAAGAAATGCATTTAAATTTTCACCAAGAAAAGACCTTATTCACCTTTTGAAATTATTCCCAACACCACACAGTACATAAACTCCAAAGCTTTTCAGACCATATATAAATGTATTAATTGAATGAAACCTCTCTAATAATTAAAAAGATAAAATATAGCACGCTTATCAGTCCCTTTTTTCTAAATCAACAATAGAAATATACAGGAGGCAAAAATTATATTTGAGGATGTCAGAAAAAGAGAATCATAGTTTTGTTTTGTTTTTTAAGAGTGTTAATACCAAAGGTCTTTTACTACCGATATTAACATCTCCTGCCTTGTTGTAGGACTCAGTAATTACTTGTGAACTTAAGGGGGCAACTATAAATCTTCCAGGCTATACCAAGGGTTCTCATTCTCCTTCCAAAGCTGACTGTGAAATGCTCAGTAACATATGTGTGTACACACACACACACACACACACACACGCGCACGCATTTGTTTCAGTAATAAATGTTGGACTAATGTCTAGTGACCAGCTAAAGTACTATAGCTCAAAGTGAGAGCTATTGAAAACCTAGAATAGTAATATCTGAGATGCATTTTTACAAAGTACAGATTCCTGGGACTCATTCCAAATTGAGTGAATCACAATCTATGGGTGTGGAGCCAGAAAATCAGAAATTTGTGTAAGTACACTCAGGTGATTCTTATGCACACTAAATCTTAAGAAACAATAAGAAAAACATTGCTTTTTAATATAGTTGACACTAACTCTGCCATTTTTCACTCCAATTGATAATATTAATCAATAGCTGAATCCGTCAGAAGGAGAAAAGAAAGTTCTGTCATGTATATTCTTGTGCATGTATGTTTTAAAGGATAGACATAAAATGAAACATGATCCCCACAGTATAAACAATATCAAGTAGGGTCTCCCACCTTACCACGCATATACATACAGCCCTTTAAAAGTGATTTAAGATTCCCTTTAAGACTGCCTTTCATGTTCATGTTACACTACTAAATACCAAACTTAATTTATATTAAGCATTTTAGAGCCTGGGGAAAAGAGAAAACATGCAAGAATAACTTACCACAGACTAAACCCTTATATTACACATCGATTTAGAGAGATACCTCTGAGTATAGGAGGACTAGCTGCCAAGAAAGGTGAAGCAAAAAGGAAGAACCAAAAAGGAATATAGAACAGAAGAAAAGAGAATCTTTTTCAATCTTTCCAGTGTTTCAGCACCTGACTCATGCACTCTCTTCCCTAGCGCTTTTGTACCCACTTATAACCTGGTTTGCCAACCTTTACCAATTATTTAAAAATTCCTCTTACATTATGTAACAGCTTCTTCTTGCCGAATTTGTTAGCAAAGATAGTGTTATATTTATGAATGTAAAATAATTTTAAATATGCACTTAAGACACATATAATCACAGATTAGCCAAGACATCTGGTCTCTGGCCAGTGTTCAGATAGAGGGTGGGTGTCTGCTATCATGACTGCACTTCATGGCTCGTCCTGGCAGACTGCCTATCCAGGAGGGGTCACTCTAGAGTAAGCTCGACTTCTAACCCAGAAGCTCTTAGGTATAAACTCAGAAGATGAGATGCCTTAATGTACTAGAGAAAGTGAAATACAACCAAAATGATAGTGAGTTTTCATTGTTTTTCACTACCAAGTGACACCTCTCTCCTTCCCACCAAAACAAAAAAGTAGTAAAAGCCAAGAAGCGTACAAGAGACCAGAGGATGAAGTTAGAATTCAAAGTTGGCCAAGCAGGATTCAGAATCATGCCACGAAAAAAATCAGGAAAAAAAAAAAAAACCCTATAACATCAATATATAGTTCACTACAATGCTTCCTAAGTGTTTCCTTACCTTTACTTAAATAACATTAAACCAGTAATGTTTGTGAATATATATACAAATTAACCATAAGGAACAACTATAAACAAAAATAAAAAAACCTTTCTCACTTTGAAAATATTTCTCTTGGCTGGGCACAGTGGCTCATGACTAGATTACAACCAGCACTTTGGGAGGCAGAGGCGGGTAGATCACCTGAGGTCAGGAGTTCCAGACCAGCCTGGCCAACATGGTGAAACCCCAACTCTACTAAAAATACAAAAATTAGCTGGGCGTGGTGGTGGGCGCCTATAATCCCACCTACTCGGGAGGCTTAGACAGGAGAATCACTTGAACCCGGGAGGCGGAGGTTGCAATGAGCCGAGATCACGCTATTGTACTCCAGCCTGGACAACAAGAGCAAAACCCTGTCTCAAAAAAAAAAAAAAGAAAAGAAAAGAAAATATTTCTCTTTCAAAGTGATTTTTTTCATCTTTAGCTTGCTTGATACAGTCAAATAAAAACTTCAAAAAAGAGAATTTTCTAAACAGTATAGCATAAACTAAAAAGGCAAGGTTCACACATTTCCCAATCTTCCAGATTCCTTCTCCCCAAGCCAAAGCAACCATATTAACAGTTTTTGAGAATACTTGCTTTTTTCACTAATGTCACCTGCATTTTTCAGCCCATGTAAATCTATCTCATTCATGTTAATGGCTAGACAGTACTCCTTTGTATGTCAAGATACACCATAACTAATTTTAGCTGGTCCCACGTGAAGGGATATTCAGTTTGTTTGCCTTTATGTTTCGTGTGGCAATTACACACGACACAGTGACAAATATCCTTGTTCATTTAGCAATGAATACTTGTAGCTAACGTATCTTTAGGAAAAATTCCTAAACATAGAATTCCTGGGTCAAAAGGTATATGTATTTGAAATGTTATTTTCTTTTCTCACACTACACCAATGTGGTACTTGAAATTTTAAAAGATGGTGCCAAATTACACTCCAAAAACATCAAATAAATTTACATTTCCACTAAGTCTAAGCAGTCCACATCTCCAAATGGCATTATCAAGCTTTAAAAAAAAAAAAACAAATCTGATACTTTATTTTCACTTAAGTGAAGCTTAGAATCTTTTCACATTTTTATTGGTTACTTTTTATTTTCCCCCATAAATAGCATGTTTCTATTTTGCCAATTTTTATATTAGATTGCTATTCTTTCTTCTTACTGATTTTAAGGTATTTGCCCATATTTAGAAAACTTGTTCTCAACATATCTGCTACAAATATACTTTTTCCCAGACTATATCTATTAATTTAATCTAAAGAATGCTTTTTGCCATGTGCAATTTAAAATTTTATATAATCAAATTCCTTCATATCTTTATGTTTTCTAGTTTTTGTGCATTGCTTAGAAATTACTTTCACACATAAGATAATAAATATACTGACCTTGTGAATTTTTCCAGTACTTTTATAGTTCCACTGCCCATGTAGAGTTTATTTTGGGCTACAGAAAAAAGTAGGAAATCCCAGTTTTATTTGTTTTGCTTTTTCCCCTACTGGAGGAGCTTGCCAGTTTTCCAAGACCATTTGGTAAATAATCCATTTCTTCCATCTACTGATATGAAATGTCATCGCCATTGTGGTCATAACCATCAAATTCTACTTCTACACAAGTCTAAGCATGAATAGTCTCTTCTGTTCTATTACTTTGTCTACTCTTGCACAGGCATACTTTCTTTATTACTGTAACTCTATTACACCCTTACAATTTTGGTAGGGCGCCCTAATGACACTTTTTCCTCTAGAATTCTCCTTGCTACTCTCATATTTATTTTCTAGAAGAAACAGAACTCTTTTTTTTTAACTTCTCCCCCTAAGTTTTGAGGAGATTATAATTAGAACTGTACTTAATTTATACATTAATTTAGGAAAAAACCTCACAGCCTTTGAATTTAAAGTCTTACCATTCATTAGCTGTAAGCAGTAGCAGTGGCAGCAATGGTAGTAGTAATAAGCACGATTATAACTAACTTTCATTGAGGACTATATGTCAAGCCTATTTGATAACCTCATGGTGTCATCTCCATTTCACAGATGAGAAAATTAAGGCTCAGAGTGTTAAGCAACTTGCCCAAGTCACAACCACAACTGAGATTTTAATCTGCATAATTTGACTTGAGTCTACATTCTGAACTAAAGAAATTTAGCACAGTAATTACAAACAAAGTGTGCTTCTTCCTCTAAAGCTCCACATATTAACACAACATTATCATTAGTATGAAGTCACCATAAGTATTCTAGCCAGGCATGGCTCTCTCTATGCAGATGACACTGTGAAGTATTCACTGAGATATGCCCATCCCAAATCCCCAGACTTTCTTGTTCCTATATAGTGGTTCACTCCCAATGCAGAGATCTGGAGCAATGATCAGATCATGGGAGCTGAGAGTAAGAGGTGATGAGAATATTGACATTTAATTGATATCTAAAGCAGAAAAAACATCTAAGCTTTGCTATTTACTAATATAAAGATTAATAGTAGTGTGTACACACACATGCACACACATACACACACTAGAAAGTACATTCACATATGGAGTTGAACGCTCAACAGATTTTTAACTGCCCAATCAAATACATTTGAAATTTATCTATGTAGAACATTCCAAACCTCTTGCCTCAAAAGAGTTGATCAGAAGACTGAAGATAACAAACAAAATTCTTCGCTTTTGGTTTACAACATAAGCTCCTGAGATCTCAAGGTAGAGATTTTAGTTTCAGACAACCAAATTTTGAAGTCTACAAGCTTGGTTTGAGACCCAAATGCCAAATCTCTGAAGATACTTCTTTGGGAGGCCAAGGCGGGCAGATCACGAAGTCAGGAGATCAAGGCCATCCTGGCTAACATGGTGACACACCGTCTCTACTAAAAATACAAAAAATTAGCTGGGCATGGTGGCACGCACCTGTAGTCCCAGCTACTTGGGAGGCTGACGCAGGAGAATCGCTTGAACCCAGGAGGCGGAGGTTGCAGTGAGCTGAGATTGCGCCACTGCACTCCAGCCTGGGCAACAGAGCGTGACTCCATCTTAAAAAAAAAAAAAATATATATATATATATAATAAAATATAAAATATATACATTTTATATATAAAAAATAAATGTATATAATAAAATATATAAATATAAATATATAAATATATTTATAATATATATAAATATATAAATATTTATAATATATATATTATAAATATATTTATATATAAATTTAGCACAGTAATTTATATATATTATTTATTTATTATATATGTAATTTATTTATATATAAGTAACTATAAATTATAATATATAAGTAATTATATATATAATTATATATATAAGTAATTATATATATAATTATTATATATAAGTGATTACTTATATTATATGTTATTTATATATAAGTGATATATATTTATATATATATTTATATTTATATAAAAATATATATATATATAAAGTAAATATATATATTTACTTTAGGGATATGGGAAGAATACATGAGACTAGCCCAGCTCTGGCCTCCTTAATAAAGATGGCTTCTTCCCCCAGCCAAGAAGATTGATGATACTATGAAAGGCAGAGAGCATTCCTGGTGGGAGACTTCTCTGGCCTTTGGGTTTGGAAACAAACAAATAAGGTATGTCTTTCATATATTCAACTGTCCCCCTCAGCAACTTTTAGTTTTCTTCTCATAGTCCCTTCATATTGTTTCTGCTAATTCCTACGTAAACTTAGTTGCTATTTCAATTGGGACCTCTTCTTCCATTATATTTCTAACTTATTATAGTATTTATAAGAGAAAACTATCATTTTAAAACACTAACTTTGAAAGTGTCCACCTTATGGAATTTCTTTATTGTCTTACATCATTTTTTAGTTGACACTGTAAGTTTTCCATATAATTAATCACATCATAGGCAAATACTTACAAATTCAGTGTATCCTTTCCAATACTTAGATCTCTCAATGTCTAACTGAATTAATCTTGCATGCTTTAGTAATGTTATATTATTCTTTTGATGTGCTACTAGATTTCATTTGTAATAGTTTCTTTATGAACATTGCTGAAATGAGATTGGTCTACAGTTTTATTTTGTATTTCCCTGAAAGATGTGATATTGTTGATTTTGCCAATTTCACAGCTTTCCTCCTATTCCTATGCTGTTGGAACAGTGTGACTAGCATCAAAATGATCTTATCCTTTAAGATTAAAATAATTCACCTGTGAAACCATCTATGTTTAGTGGTTTTAAGATACTTGCTGAATTTCTTCTTCCACAGTGATTGTTTAGATTCTCTCTTCTCTGGGGTCAATTTTGTTGATTTATATTTTTCTACTAAATCATTTGTATTTATTTTAAATGGTACTGAGTAATTCTTTTACTTGCATACAACCTGCAGTAATTTTGTCTAAAAAGAAAAATATGAGCAAACATATAAATCAACATTATTGGAAAACACACCCAGGATGAGTTAAATGTGTCAAACTGGGAGCAAAATACTGGTAGATAGCATTTAATTCAAGGGTTTTGGAAAGAAACCTTTAAATAGGGCTTTAAAAGTGATGAAGTGCTGGTAGGGTGTTCATATCCAGAGAACTGTGAGTAAAAGAGAAACTAAATCAATACTACTATGAACTGTTTAAAAAATGCATATTTCTTGCTACAATGTAGGAAATGGCTTTCAGTTAGATAATTACAGTATATGTGTTAAGTATTCGGAAAATGTAACTGGGAAAAAAACAACAAAATTGTGTGAAATGTTTTAAGTGTTACTACTCCAGTTATTTAACTCTAAAAGTAGGCTAAGTATCGAAGTACAAAGTGGCATTCCTCTCTCTAACTTATTTATTTGAAACATTATTATTCAAACATTTAATGACCACTTACTATCAGCTAGACACCTTGTCAGAGTTACAAAAATGGCTTAGATATGGTCCCTTGGCTCAAAAAATGTATTAACCTCATCCCTAGTTTCAATATGACATAATATATCCATGGTTATATATAACAACCTCAAGAAATATAAACAGCCCCACTAGAACTTTGCTTCACAAACCAGTAAATACAAAATAGTTGAAAATCAAATGTCAAATACACAACTGTCAACACAAATATCTATAATTTTTGAACTGCTATCACTATTCTAATATGAATATTAAATCCTGATTATCTCAAATTGGATATAATTTCCCTTTCTATGATAAGGCTCTAAGAAAAGACAGAAGTCTGAAACTGCTCTGAGACCACAACTTTGAACAGAGGGTCAGAAAAAGGCAAAATAAACTCCCTTTCTACAATGCATAATGACACAGGGTATTAAAATTTCAGTAAGGAGGATCATGAGAAAGACAATGAGCTCACTTAAAAAACTGTATGCATCAAAAGGATCCTTTACACTAATACTAGAATGCTAATGAATAATCAACAAAAAGTTAATATTCATATCGTACTCTGAAAAAATCTTATCTTTAACACTACACACTAGAAATACTACCAAATTATAAGCAATAAGAAAGTTGGAAGTGCTCTGATGTGGTACAAACCTACCTGTGCACATGATTCCTCAGGTGTTTTGGCACTAACTGAATAAAGTGCTGGGAGATCTAGTCTATGCACAGAGAATCTTTCTAGAGTGTGCAAAAGTGCTGGAGCAAGGTGAGAAGTTTGACCTGAGCCCCGTTCTCCAGAGAGCAATAAGCGTGGCCTGTAAGAGGTTGGCTGATGATATGGTGACCTGTAATACATGTAAGACATAATTATTTCAAAGGCATACATTCTGAAGACAAATATGAAATATCAGGCAAAATTTTTACATTAAAACAATTTAACTCCAAATTAACAGAACTTTCCTATATTATTTTAGTATAGTGACTTATTTTTTTATTAATTATGGTTTTAAAATGTTGGTATCTCTGACCATATTAATAACCAAGATATAAAAGTATAAAATCCACTTTAAGGGCCAGGCGCAGTGGCTCATGCCTGTAATCCTAGCACTTTGGGAGGCCAAGGTGGGCGGATCACCTGAGGTCAGGAGTTCAAGACCAGCCTGGCCAACATGGTGAAACCCCGTCTCTACTAAAAATACAAAAATTAGCTGGCTGTGGTGGCGGGCATCTGTAATCCCAGCTACTCAGGAGGCTGAGGCAGGAGAATCGCTTGAACCCGGGAGGCGAAGGTTGCAGTGAGCCGAGATCACACCACTGCACTCCAGCCTGGGCAACAAGAGCAAAACTCCATCTCAAAAAACAAACAAACAAACAAACAAACAAACAAACAAATAATAAAATAAATCCACTTTAAAATAAAATAAAATAACCTTGGTATTCCTGCTATCATACCACATATATTAACTTGAAGATGCATTAAACTCCAGTATCATTTAGTTATTAGTTATCCAAGGTTAAATGTTAGGAATCTCACTTTTTGACAAAGAGGTAGATTTGAAGATTATCCCAAATGTAGGACTCAATTAACAGGCAGGGCCTTTAGGAGGTGATTAAGTCATGAGCAGTCAGCCCTCATGAATGGATTAGTTATATCATCAAAGGGCTTGATAATAAAACTAGCTAGTCCCTTCAATCCCTTCTGCCATGTGAGGACATTGTTGTTCCCCTCCAGAGGAAGCAGCGGTCAAGGCATCATCTTAGAGGCAGAAACCAAGCCCCCACCAGACACCAAATCTGCCAGAGCCTTCATCTTAGACTTTCAGCCTCCGTTAACTGTGAGCAATAAATTTATGTTGTTATGTTCTCACTCATAAGTGGGAGTTGAACAATGAGAACACATGGACACAGGGAGGGGAACATCACACACCGGGGCCTGTCCGGGGGTGGGAGGCCAGGGGAGGGATAGCATTAGGAGAAATACCTAATGCAGATGACGGGTTGATAGGTGCTACAAACCACCATGGCACATGTATACCTACGTAACAAACCTGCACATTCTGCATATGTATCCCAAAACTTAAAGTATAATAAAAATAAATAAATAAATAAATGTAGGTTGTTTATAAATTAATCTGTTTAAGGTATTTTGTTACAGCAGCAGGAACAAACTAAAACAATCACAATTTTTAAAATAACAAATATATATATATATACATAAACTTCTTCCAACACAAATTTTATTTCTGTAACAACAAAAACTAACTGTTACTACCCTGACAGATGACATCTAAAGCTCCATACCAGAGAAAGAAAATATGTTAAACCAAACTTGACTTGTAATTTCGAGATTCTACAGCACCATTAAAATAACAAATGAAACAAAGTTTACTCTCACTGTGGGTAGTACTAGACATTCTAAGGCAATGCAGTAAGAATAAAGCAAATTTAAAATGGAACTAATAGAAAGCAAAAAGGGAAAAAATTGATACCTGTAAAGGATATCATTATGTAGTAGCAAATCCAAGAAATCAACCAAAAACTGTCAGAATCTACCAGCAAAGTAACAAGACAGAAGAAATAGAAAAATCAATAGATTTCCTAAACACCATCAATAACCACTGTAAAAAAGGAAAGGAGATCCTATTCACTGCAAAAAAAAAAAAAAATTAAAAAGGTAAAACAAACATTATCTAATTACAGTCTTAGCAAGAAAAGAGTGAAACTGAGCCTGAACACAAAGACTAAATACATAAAGACGTCAATTCTTCCTAACCCATTTACTTTTTTATTTTATACACATAGGATTTTCAAGTTGAAATCCCAAAAGAATTTTTGGGAGGAGGGGAGTTTCAACTTACTCACAACTTTAACTGAAAGAACAATCAAGTAAGAATATCAAGAAAACTTTTTAAAACATGCTACCAGCCGGGCACAGTGGCTCACGCCTGTAATCCCAGCACTTTGGGAGACTGAGGCTGGCGGATCACAAGGTCAGGAGATGAAGGCCATCCTGGCTAACACGGTGAAACCCCCGTCTCTACTAAAAATACAAAAAATTAGCTGGGCGTGGTGGCACGTGCCTGTAGTCCCAGCTACTCAGAAGATAGAGGCAGGAGAATCATTTGAACCTGGGAGGCAGAGGTTGCAGTGAGCCAAGATCTCACCACTGCAACAGAGTGAGACTCAGTCTCAAAAAAAAAAAAAAAAATGCTACCAATTTTAATGCATTCAAACATGTTTTAGTAACAAGCACTTGATAGAGATTTCTTGTTCAATTTTCTTAACAATTCTGTGAAACACATAGTTTCATTTTATTAAACAGATAAGAAACCAGGGCTCGTGGAGGTTAACTACAAAGTTGTATAACCAGGTGGAAGAGTTCAAATTGTCATTCAAGCCCATTTGACTGCAAAGCTCAGGTTCTGAACCCACTATGTTAAGATGTGTCCTACTTTATACTGAAACATATTATAGAATAACAATTAA
The DNA here is from genome assembly GCF_000001405.40 of Homo sapiens. Lineage (NCBI taxonomy): Eukaryota > Metazoa > Chordata > Mammalia > Primates > Hominidae > Homo > Homo sapiens. The sequence continues at coordinate 23,813,144 of NC_000002.12, forward strand.
TAGAATGTAGAATATATCAAAGAAACAGACAAACATAAAAGGCAGCCTAGGAAATGATTAATTGTAATCACTATATGAAAGAATTTCATATACAATGAAATAATTTATATGCATATGTTTATAAAAATTATATGAATTATAAAATATTTATAAGTCATATAAATTATGTTGTTATTTTATAATATATTATAAAATAATATGAATTATAATATATAAGTTTATAGGAATATAAATGTATAAAATGTATAAGAATTTATATTTTCTTACATGAAACAATTTCATCTAAGAAAAGAATCATAAAAAATAAATGAGGGCAGCACAGTGGCTCACACCTGTAATCCCAGCACTTGGGAGACTGCGGTGGGGGGATCATTTGAGCCCAAGTGTTCTGAGACAAGCCTGGGCAACATGGCAAAACCCCATCTCTACAAAAAATTAAAAAAAAAAAAAAATTTAGCCAGGTGTGGTGGTGTGCACCTGTAGTCCCAGCCACCAGGAGGCTGAGGTAGGAGGATCACATGTGTCCAGGAGGTCAAGGCTGCAGTGAGCCATGATGGTGCCACTGCATCCCAGCCTGGGTGACAGAATGAGACCTTGTCTCAAAAATAAAATAAAATAAAAGGAAGAGAAATGGATAATAAAATAAATGTTTAAAAACGGAGGATTCAGGTCATTTCACAGCATAAACAAAATGAATTCTAACACAAAATTTAAATTAAAAGATTCATTTATTTTTAATTCATAATAATCTAAAAACCTCTGTAACCCAAAAATTATAATCTGAACCAAATAGCAAACAACCAAATGGCATAAAGAATTTGCTACAGAGCAGGGCACGGTCGAACATGCCTGTAATCCCAGCTACTTGGGAGGCTGAGTTGGGAGGCTCACTTGAGCTCAGGAGTTCAAGACTACCCTGGGCGACATAGACATCCTATCTCAGAAACAAAATTATTGAAAAAACATAAAAAGAAAATTTAATAAAAAGAATTTGTCATAAACAGGAATGGTTCTTAATGTATAAAGAGTTTATATGCATAGTTTTCAAAAACCTCCATGGGCAAAGGACGTAAAACAAGACAATTCAAAGAGAAAATAGAAATAGGAAACTTTTTAAAATGTTTATTTAATTATATAACTATAGAATGCCTCCTATGCTGAATGCCTTAGCCCTAAGTATCAAACAATACCAGTGTTATCATAGAGCTCATAACTGAGTGGTATTTAGTAAAAAAGTTAATATACAAATTACCATAGTTCAATGTGATTAATAAGGGGTACTGTTTAAGTACACAGTGCTATGGAAGATACCAATTAGAGACTCATAGAAGGCATTCCTGGAAAAGTGTTACCAAGGCAGAAACCCAAAAGATTGGAGGTACAAGAGATGAATTCCAAGACTGCAAACAGGATGTGCAAAGGACCAACAGTTAAAAAGAACATGGCTCTTTGGGGTAACTAATACAGTTCATACAGCCAGTTTTGGTTTTGTTTGTTTGTTTTGAAGTACTGGGGACAAGTTGTGGAGGGTACAGTAAAGGTACTAGGGTGGGGAGAGAAAAAAGAAGGTAAGTTAGACTATGAAGGGCTACAAAGGGTTTTGTAAGCCACGTTAAAAGTTTGGAATGTGGCCTGGCGCAGTGTCTCACACCTGTAATCCCAGCACTTTGGGAGGCCAAGGCGGGCAGATCATGAGGTCAAGAGATCGAGACCATCCTGGCCAACATGGTGAAACCCTGACTCTACTAAAAATACAAAAAAAATTAGCCAGGCGTGGTGGCAGGCACCTGTAATCCCAGCAACTTGGGAGGCTGAGGCAGGAGAATCACTTGAACCTGGGAGGTGGAGGTTGCAGTGAGCTGAGATCACACCATTGCACTCCAGCCTGGGCAAAAAGAATGAAATCCGTCTCCAAAAAAAAAAAAAAAAAGTTTGGAATGTGTACTGAAGACAATGGGGAAGCATTAAGATACTTTAGAGGAACAAGATAATCATATACATGTTTAGGGAAGATAACTCTATCTCAGCATTGTCAGTATGGGAAAGGGTTTTGAAAGAAGGCAAATGAGAGGAAAGATAATCAGGCATCTGCTATAGTAACCCAGGCATGACATGTGAATGACAGTTCAACAAGAATAGTGTTAGAGAAAGAAGGAATAGCCTGCGATGAGACTTACTTAGTAAGAAAAATCAGAAAGACTTGGTCATTGACTAGACAAAGAAAGAAATAAAAGGAAAGAAGTTGAGAATGATGTCAAATTCTAGCTGAGACAACTGAATGAATGATGGCTCATAGGAGTCACAGGAAGAGAAGGGGCGTATGATACAGTCCAGCTATGTACGGAAAGATCCATGGTACAACAAAGGGGAGATGGGCCACTGGTCAGGGTCTGAAGCTCAAGAGCAATCTAGGCTTGAGAACAAAATGGTAGTCATTAACACAGAGATTTTTAAAAAATGAGAAAATATAAATGAAAATAATGATGGACATCTTTTATCTGTTAGATTAATAAACCAAAAATTAATTGTAATGCCCATTATCAATGAGAGGATGGCAAAATTGATATCCTCACAACTAGTGGAAGAAAAGCACAACTTTTCTGAAATTATATGTGATAGATCTAAATATGCCAAAATGTATGCCCAAAAGTATTCAATAACTCACTCCACTCCTAGGGATTCCCCAGCCTCTTACTATCTTCTACATTTTTTCCCCATAGTACTTATCTTCTAACAGTTTATCTATCTAGCAAGCTATTACATTTATTATTTTACTGAATGTCTCCTCTGTTTAAAAATATAAGTTAAATGAGGGCCAGGATCTTACCCTATTTTGTTCACTGACCTACCCCAACTACCCAGGACAATGTCTGGAACATGATGGGCACTTTTACAAAACATTTGAATGAGTGAATGAATATATGAAAGAACAAATGAACAAGTCAACTAAACAAAAAGATATTATATTCATCTATCTGGTTTGTAAAGATTTTAAAAGACAGTGCTCAGAATTGACAATGGTATAAGAAAAATACTACTCTCATACATTAGTATGAGAAATGTAAACTAGTACAAGCCTTCTGGAAAGCAATTTAACAATCTGTGTCAACATGTTAAATGTATACACTCTTTGACACAGCAATTGCAGTTCTTAAAATTTACCTTATGCTTTGAATCAGATAGTGGTGTAAAGATGTATACTTAGAAACAAGTCTATTGTTCATAAAAGAAGAAACTTGAAAACTTCAAATTTTACCAATAAGGGTCTATAAATTATGGAATATCCAAAGTGTAAGATAATATGCAGCTATCTTAAAACAGTCATATTAAACATACACTGACATGAAATAATATTCCCAACATAGTGGATGAAAAAGTAAGTTATATTAACAACTTATAGGAGGATATAATCCAGATAATGTATGGGTCTATACATTATACATGCATAGAGAGGACATGGAAGTGTGGTCACCAAAACTTTAACAAATATTACCTGCAGGTGCTGGGGCTTTAATTTTTACTTTCTTCTTTATGCTCTTCTTTATTACTTGAATTTTCTACAGTGTATATCATCTTTCTAATCAGAAAAAACAAAGCTATTTTCATTTGAAAAACCTCAGAAAATTCTGTTTCTAGTCACCCTTATGGTAATATAAAGTAAGAAAGAAAATTTATTTTCCATCATAAAGCTTCTCTACCAGATTGGTAAACCTTAACTATCTTGACTTCTCCTTTATATTAAATGTAAAAAAGAAAAGGTTTCAACATTGTTTCAGGAGACTATTCCCAGAAATTCACCAGCAATACCCAGGCTAGTGTGACTGAAAACCAGCACTAAAGTTATGCTTTATTCTGGCCGAGCACCTTTTCTTCTGCATTGATCTGTAATGCTAACGTATCTTGCTCAAACAGAAAACTAAACCAACCAAACAAAAAAGACTATATGTTGCCCATACTAAAGGCCTTAATTCTAAAGTGTATGCTTCTTGGAGAGTGTGAAATATATGGCTTAACTTACCTAAAGAAGCAATGCAATTCCCTAGCTACTTATTAAGCTCAGAAATAACTTGGAAAAATATGGTCTTAGGAAACAGCACAGAGTCTGGCTCTGCCACCTGCTAGCAACAGGATCATGGGCAATTTATTTAACTTCTGTGTGCTTCACTTTCCTCATCTATAAAATGAAGATACCACAAATGCAATATGATTGTTAAGGGGCCTATATATATTACTGAATATGAAGCACAGATCTTTACATACCAAGCAAGTATCTAATTTGTAAAAAGCACTCAGATGCAAACTCCCATCCCTTCATAATGAAAAGGACAGCAAATATCACTACTTCTCCTGTGAAACCTTCCCAGACTTCCAGCAGAATTAGTTCTGCTTTCACAGCACTTTCGCCATATTGAAATGTTTGTCACCCCCAACCATGAGACCTTCTCCAAAGTAAGAACTATGTTATATCTTATTCATGCTTATGTTTTCAGCATCTCATACAATGCCTGGCATAGGGTAAACAAAGAAAAATTGGACAAATGGGTAGGTGAATAAAGAAATAAGTGAATAATTATTATTAAAACATCTAAAAAATGCTTATTCTAGCATATAGCTGTCTCATTATTTAATCAAAGTCAAATGAATGAACTAGAAAAGCTTATGTAAAGGAAGCTAAAATTAAACCAATTCTTTCAGAAAAGCTAAAACAAAATGAGCCATACCAATGTTTCACATTAAATCAGTGGCAGGAAATGTCCTCAATAAAAAGTCAAACTTAACACTGTACATGATACTTTCTAATATCAAAATCTATTTCTGTATTCCTTTATTGACGACAATTATCTTATAAAATTAAACACGTCTTTTGATACTTACTTAGTTTCTGCTACTACATAATACAAATCCAAATAACTATAACTGTCAAACACACATAAACACACACACACACACATTACACACACACACACACACACACACATTACACACACACACACACACAGAGAGAGAGAAGGAGGGAGGGAAGAAGAGAGGGAGAGGGAGAGACGGAGGGAGGGAAGAAGAGAGGGAGAGGGAGGGAGGGAAGAAGAGAGGGAGGGAGGGAGGGAAGAAGAGAGGGAGACGGAGGGAGGGAGGGAAGAAGAGAGGGAGGGGGGAGAGAGAGAGAGAGAAAGAGAGAGAGACAGAGAGACACAGACGCACAGGCTAGCCAGGTGAAAAGCAAAAAAAAAAAAAAAAAAAAAAAAATTGGCTTTCCCATAACTATCAATAAAACAAATCTGTAAAATGCTGGAATAGCCTATAAAAAAACTTCCCCAAGAGCATAAAAGAAAGGATCTGGAGAAGAAGAAAAAAACTTACAAAGAGTTTGCTATTAAAGAACATATGAAGAAAAAAAGAGGAGATGAAAGTAATTTAGGCTCATTTTTAAAAATGAAAAACAAGAAAGGGTTATCAATGCAAATAATCAAATCAACATTTCACCAAAATCTACATGGGAAAACTTCAAGTTGGAGACTTAAATTTGTTCAAAATATTAAAAGTACACACAATCCGGCCTCTTCTAATAGAAGTGCTATTAGATCTACCTGACTGAAGCTTTATGGTCCTTCAACTATGGGGCTAATTATGTAAATGCAAGTAAAGATGCTGTTAGTATTTGAAAACTATTTGGCCTCTTAATTTAAAATTACATTTGCACTAAAAGTGTTTACCTATTATAGTGCACAGCAAAACTTGCTTTAACACAGATAATAAAAGGGTAAATGTAAATTGAAAAATCATAAAATCCAAATTATGCAAGTATAATGTTTCTAGAAAATCAAAAAGTTATTTAATTACTGAACAATTTCTAAATCGAAATCTCTTTAGCAGCCTTAGAGACCTAAATGATCATCTAAAGTTTATTACAAATTAAAGTATTCCAGATCATGGCAAATATTTCATTTCTGCCCATTTTAGTTTAAAGAAAAAGCAATAAAGTTGGGGCTCATGAGTTGACTTTCTAAGGGTAAGCTTTCCTCTGCCTCCATGGGGGAAAAAATTTACACCATTACTTTAAAAAAAAGTAAACTTAGCCAGGTACAGTGGCATACGCCTATAATCCCAGCACTTCGGGAGTCCAAAGCGGGAAGAGCACCTGAGATTCGAGACCAGCCTGGACAACATAGTGAAACCCCATCTCTACTAAAAATGCAAAAATTAGCTGGGCGTGGTAGCGCACACCTGTAATCCCAACTACTCAGGAGGCTGAGGTACGAGAATAGCTTAAACTCAGGAGGCAGAGGTTGCAGTGAGCCAAGATCATGCCACTGCACTCTACCCTGGGTGACAGAGTGAGACTCTGCCTCCCAAAAAAAAAAAAAAAAGTAAAGTAGCAGGAAAGATTCTTCTACTTGGAGAAAAAAACACCTAGGTAGTTAACCAACAAACTAACTATTACCACATGAAAAAGAATACATAGTAAAAGTTTTCCAGAATTGTGTCCAAACAACAGAAAAACAATATCCTCACAGTTATAACCATAAGTAAAAATATACCATAATTCTAATCATAAAGTATCAAAAATCACTCTAAATACAAAGAAAGTTGATATAAATCACTCACATTGTAAAATGAAGGTAGGGTTTATGTATAGCAGCAGATGATGACTGTTTCTTTGGTGATCCTGAGTGACAATTGGTCTCAAAAATTGATAAAGCATTTTCATCTTCACTATCCTCTAAAATTAAAGTTTCTATATCTGTTTAAAAAAATCACAATGGTTATGGGGCTTATAAAGTCATTTAATATTCGTGCCCTACCAAAGCTAAGAAAAATTGGGTTAAAAAATCAAATGACATTAATAAGTTATCTATCAAATAATACAGGCAAACTGACAAACTGCAGCTTTTAAAATAACTTATAAACAAAATTAATATAACACTTTCACCTTTACAGACTATTTACTTAAGTGTTATGAGATATAATTTGGAAGAACTCACTGACTGGCTTAAAAAAAAAAAACAAGTCTGGAAAAGATGTGGCACTCTCATAAAATCCCACCTATTTAACTAAAAATCTCTGAGTTAATTTTGACCAAAACCAGTCCATTTCATATTTGGTTTAATTAGTAGGTTAGCTGAGTCAAGGCCAGTTCTTATAAAAGCAACAAGGAACAAACTGACCCTTATTTTTTAAAGAGGATACACCTTTTCAAAGAAGTCTTAGTGTAGTTAAGATGGAGTCAGAAATTCCGTCAAAGCTAATCTTAAAAATACACTCATTCATACAGCATTATTCTCTCTGTGGGCCTTAGGTTATCACTCAGGGAACTAACTGGAACTAAAATCTCTACTGAGAATGCAACACTTAAAGCCTTACCTGGACTACCACCTGAAGTATGAACAGCTGTTGCTATACTTCAAACATGCCTAATTAAAACTGACAATTCATTCAATAAAAAGCAATGCTACATGTGTACGGGATATGAGAGAGAATTAAGATTAAGAGAAATCATATCCTTTCAAAATAAAAAATATACAGATGCATTCTAAAATGAGATGCTAAATTATGCTAGCAGATAGAGATCTCAAGTGGCTTTTAAAAGCTAAACATTTAATCGAGACCATCCTGGCTAACATGGTGAAACTCTTGTCTCTACTAAAAATACAAAAAAATTAGCCGGGCGTGGTGGCAGGCGCCTCGTAGTCCCAGCTACTCGGGAGGCTGAGGCAGAAGAATGGTGTGAACCCAGGAGGCGGAGCTTGCAGTGAGCCAAGATTGCGCCACTGCACTCCAGCCTTGGTGACAGAGCCAGACTCCGTCTCAAAACAAAAAAAAAGCTAAATATTTAGTACAAGTCATAGTTTAATCTGGGAAATAACTGAGTATCTTTTGAGTGATAATTTCATACACAAGGAAATATTTATCTAAGAAAAATATTAAAGGTCAAAACAAGCCAGAATAAATATGACTAAATAGCTAAAAACCAATTATTGATAATCAAATAAAATTTGGTTGCTCTTCTCCACTGGTTCATGGCAACTAGTTCTACCAACTGGAACTAAAGCATACTTTATATTTACACACAAAAAAAGCTATAAGAAAACATAGATAATAATGCTATAAAATGGTAATTCACAAATGGAGATAAAAAGCTATGATAATCTCTCCAAAGGAAAGATGAGGTTTTTATGATTTTCTAAAGGTGACGTAAGTTTTTTGGGACGTTTTGGTACATAACATATATATGAAATACATTTCCAGTTATGAAATTCAGAAATAAAAAATACACAAATCATGGCATCGTGCCTGGCTCACAGATATTCAGTAAAATATTCATTCCCCTCTGTCTGCCAAATTTAAGAAATCAGGTATTCCATGTGGTATCTTATGTGAGTCTGTCACTAAACAATTAAAGTTTCTGAAAAATATATTTATGACAGAAGAATTCATTGAACAATATTCATAATTTTTACTATATATATTTTTAATGTTAGTATAATTCTCTGAATAATTTTCTATTTGGTGCAGACTGCATTCCAGACAAGGTGCTAGGAACTGCAGAAATTAAGATAATCAAAAGACATTACTTTCCCTTCAAAGTTTATGAGCTTTATACTCTGATTAGAATGTCAATGTAATTTTTAAATGTTTTTCCTGTAAATGAGTGATGTTTTAAATTTTATTTATTTATTTTTGTTTTTAATTTTTTAAGAGACAGGGTTTCACCATGTTGGCCAGGCTGGTCTTGAACTCCTGACCTCAGGTGATCCACCCGCCTTGGCCTCCCAAAACGCTGGGATTACACAGGCGTGAGCAACCGCACCCAGCCATGAGTGATGTTTTTAAAGGTAGTTTTCTGTTTTTATCTCAGGTGCAAAGTACAATCTGAGGCTTGACAAAACTCAAGATCCTCTAAAATGAGGTTCTTATTTACTCCCTTACCAATACCTTACACTCCTATGAGCACTGCACACTGCAGAGTGTCCTACCAATAACAACAAAATGATTAGTTTAATCCAAAGAAGCATTATAGCAACATAGGTAAGAGCAAGGGCTGTCATCAGGCTCCCTGGGTTGAGGCAGTCCCCAGAACTTATTGAATGACCTTATATTAATTAAATTACCAGGCTGGGCGCGATGACTCACATCTCTAATCCCAGCACTTTGGGAGGTCAAGGCGGGTGGATCACCTGAGGTCAGGAGTTGGAGACCAGCCTGATCAATATGGTGAAACCCCATCTCTACTAAACAAACAAACAAATACAAAAATTAGCTGGGCGTGGCGGCACACGCCTGTAATCCCAGCTACTTGGGAGGCTGAGGCAGGAGAACTGCTTGAACCTGGGAGGCAGAGGTTACAGTGAGCCAAGATCAGGCCACTGCATTCCAACCTAGGTGACAGAGTGAGACTCTGTCTCAAAAAAAATAAATTACCAGCCTACATCTCCCACTCCCCTGCTCTATATAATCAGAGTGCTTACCTGCAAGCCTGTTAAGAGGATTAACAGGCCGGGCGGGGTGGCTCACGCCTGTAATCCCAGCACTTTGGGAGGCCAAGGTGGGAAGATCACCTGAGGTCAGAAGTTGGAAACCAGCCTGGCCAACATGGTGAAACCCTATCTCTACTAAAAATACAAAAAAATTAGCCGGGCGTGGTGGCAGGTGCCTGAAATCCCAGCTACTCAGGAGGCTGAGGCAGGAGAATCGCTGTACCCGGGAGGCGGAGGTTGCAGTAAGCCAAGACTGCGCCATTACACTCCAGCCTGGGCAACAAGAGCGAAACTCCATCTCAAAAAAAAAAAAAAAAAAAAAAAAGGATTAGTAAGTGATGATTTAGGGGCTTTAAAGGTTAACCTATTATTATTATTATTACAGTCAACTTTCTAAAGATAGTAATAGCCCTACATTAAGATGATCAGAATGTCCCAAAAGTGAACATTCATTCATTTGTCTTAAAAACATTCACCAGGCAACTACCATATGCCAGGCAATATGCCAGGCCTGGAATATATAGTACTGAATAAACAGATATATTACAAAAGTGACACATAAATAATCTTATGAGGAAACTATATTTATTTATTCCTGTATTTGTTTCATCTTAACAATATAAAAAAGTAGTTTAGAGTACCTTCTTTTTTGTCACTCTGGCTAATTTCAGCATGAGGAAACACTTTTTGCAAGACTGCTAGGATGTTGTTGAAGCTTCTTTCCAGCAGTGGTCTTATGATGGGGGATAGTGCATGCCCTGAAGACATCACAGCACGTTGGGAAGCAGGCACGATATTCTGCATTGCATGGTAAAAATCTTGGGCACTAAGCACTATTGAGGAAACATCCAGCTGCAGTTTATGACTGCTAGCATAGATCTGGGGATAACGCCTCCGCAGTGCAATCAGGGCGGCTTCAGTGCACAGGGCCTTGATATCGGCTCCACAGTAGCCTAATACACAAAAGGAGAAGGATAGCAAAGGTACATTCATTATTCCATGCACCAACTATGTTTTGTAAATATACACATCTTTAGCTAAAGTCATAATCAATACTAAATCAATAACTATGTGCAATTTTACCAGCAAAATGAAAACTAGCCATTTAAAATCACCAAACAAAACTTTGAATAAAGGGCTGAATACTTACATTAAGATTAAAAATGTTTTGAATATTTTTAATTAAAAAAAACATAAGCTAACAATATTAAAACAAAACAAGCTATGTATCTTAAATATGTCCTTGATATGAGCTTTAAAACAAAAGCCATGTATTATGTGATTAACTGATTACAATGTACAACTTTTTTTTTTTTTTAAGAGACAGGGTCTCAAAAAATAAACAAGAGACAGGGGTCTCACTCTGTTGCCCAGCCAGGCTGGAGTGCAGTGGCACAATCCGGCTCACTGCAACCTCTACCTCCCAGCCTCAAGTGGTTCTCCCACTTCAGCCTTCTGAGTAGCTAGGACTACGGGCATGTGCCACCACACTCGTATAATTTTTTTCTTTTCTTTTATTTATTTTTGTAGAGATGAGGTCTCACTACATTGCCTAGGCTGGTCTCAAACTCCTGGGCTCAAGTGATCCACCCGCCTCAGCACCCTCAAGTGCTGGGATTACAGGCCTGAGCCACCACACCTGGCCTACAACGTACAACTTTCTTTAGAAAAAAGTTTTAAAAGAATAATAGTTTCATTTCAGTCCTTCATCAATATTCCTAATCATTAGGTTAGTCCTCATGACATCATACTCACTTATAAATGACTTTCTCTAATATTATTAACTTCCAAACACGTATAAAATAGTATATAAACAGAAACTTCAAAAACAGAGCTATTCTACTACCAACTCTGAGTACAACCAACTATTAACATTCAGTTACTCCCATAATTATCATTTAAAATTGTAATTCATCTGATAGTTCCAAATATATTAAAGTAAATAAGAACATTAAAAATATTTCCACTGATTTTCCACATTAATTTTCTTTTTTTAGTTTAAAATGACTGATAATCTAAGGGTTATACCAACATAAGGTATTATTTATTACCCATGTTTAATGTATGATACAATCAAACAACAGATCAAGCCCCACTGTTTTTAAGTCATTTCATTCATCTGAGTAACAAATACATACAAAAACACATGCTCTGTTGCATCCTTGTCACAAAAAGGAAGAAAAGCTCAAACTAGCCATATTGTTTTCCCTGTTGGCAATTAAACTTGCATTTGGCCACAATTATCAGTTATGCCAGTAGGGGGAACCATTCCAATAGTTATAGAATATTAGACCCTAACTAAGCTTCAACAAACAATACCAGGTTTATTTTTATTTTATTTTTGGGAGACAGCATTATCGCTCTGTTGCCCAGGCTGAAGTGCAGTGGGTGATCATGGCTCACCGCAGCCTTGACTTCCTGGGCTCAAGAAATCCTTCTGCCTCAGCCTGCTGAGTAGCTGAGACTACAGTGTGTGCCATCACATCAGGCTAATTTTTTTTTTTTTTTTTTTTTGTAGAGATAGGGGTCTCACTTTGTCCAGGCTGGTCTCAAACTCCTAGCCTCAATCCTCCTGCCTCACCCTCCCAAAGTGCTGGTATTACAGGCATGAGTCATCACACCTGGCCTATTTATCTTTTTATACCTCACAATGACCTTATAGAACACTTAAATACTGAACTAAAAATGGTGATTACTAAGAAAAACCTATTCAAAGTTAGGGAAAAACTTAATATGACCTAGAAGAACTTAATTCAGAAGACTATAAGCAGATTACGCATTAACATTGTTCCATGACAGTGATCTATCTCACAAATAATTCTTCAGATAACCAAATTTACCACTAGTGTCTCGTTTTATTTTCTATTTCTCAAAGAAACCTGGAAAAAAATTATCTTTTCCTTTTGCATATATACCCATTTCATTAATTCAATAATGTATAGAACACTAGCTCAAAGTTATAAAGAGTTAACAAAGTAATCTAAGTATATGATTATAGAATGTGAATTATGTCTTCCATTTCCGAGGAAATAGGAATATACTACCATCTTCAAACAACATAAACAATCACGTTTCTATTTCTTCTTTAAAAGGATATACACAGTTAATGAACATATTATATGGTCCTATTTTAAGTGCAAAAGCCTAAGTTTAAAAAAATTAAAACTCAGAAACTATTAGGCAAAACAAATAATTAGCCACTAGAAGGCATTTTAGGTAGTAAATGTTACCCATAACATTTATGTTTGCCACAACATGTTAATTACATATATAACAGCAATGTATTATTTATTGATTTATTCCAGACAAAGAAATGATCAATAGACCCCATTTAATGAAGTAGATTTTCACATTAATTATTATAACCAACAGACTTATAAAGAAGGAAATTTTTTTACATTCGCTTATAAGTAAGAATTACCAGTTTATATCTGTGGTTCTCACCTTGATTATCCATCTGAATAAACACTGAAACTGAAACAAAAAAAAACAGATTCCCAAGCCCCACAATAAACCCAGTGAATCAGAATCTCTGGGGGCTTGAAATCATATGTGCATTTCAAGAAAGCTTTAGAAGTGACTCTGATACACACAAAATTGAGAACTACTGATTTAACATACTTCCTTCTAAAACTTTAAAATTGCATCATAACCATGGCTAAATGGGTTATACTTAGGGTAACCACATGTGCTGGTTAGGCCTCTTGTCCTGTCATAATAGCACATCTTTTCACTCTCAAAGCGTCCTTGTTTAGAAAATAAATAATATGATCATTCTAGTAATACTGAAAATATACTACAGCCTTTTAGGCGTTAAAAGTTAATATTAAAGAAATTATAAACATCCCTTTCATAACCATACTAAATCTACCATTACAATTCTAATACTCTGTGAACACATTTAGTTATCAAATAAAGAGCATTCCTGAATACTGCTATTAAGCTAGAAATTGTTCTAAAAAGACTGAAAATACAGCTACTAAAGAGGTTAGACTAGAAACAAGGTCATAACAAAATTTTATAAAGTTTTAAGTACAGCATCACACATAATGAAGGCCCACAAGATAAGTCACTTCATTGAGACTCTTTCATTGTTTTAGCCCTCTCATTGAAAATGGAATAGAAAAATATGATTAGAGTTGAGTGTTTCATTAATCATAAGTTTCCTACTATTTATGCAAATGTTCCTGATATCAATGTATGTTGAGTTTTTCACTATGCAAAAATCACACCCAATATGCATGCAAAAACCTCTAAGAACTTGGGAATTTCAAGGTAAAAGTTACCAAATCCATAACCTCTAACAAAAGGTCAGCTATCTTCACAGCTGTTCATCATACTCTATGAGGCATAAATTTCAATGAACTGAACCTATTCATGTTAAAACATGTTTGGCATACACAGACTAGTGAGTTTGTAATGGATTTAAAATTACTATTTCACGCCCGTTTGAAGATCTGAATTTGATTTTTTTTTTAATGTGAACCGGTTTCTCAGATGGAATGAATGTCATAACAAAAAACAGAAGTCATTTAATTATAATGGATTTTTATGTCACTGTCCAGGAAGAAAATGGTATATAAGCAGAGTCTGCACACATACTACCACCCCACAGAGGGGAGGGAAAAAAGGTAAGAGAAATTTATCAGTCCTGTAAGAAATTATACCATGAAAATTTTAAAACTTAAGAAACTGCCTAAAAGCTAAAAAAATCACTGGGAAAAATGAGAAGTATTGTCTTTGGAAATGCAAAAGGAAACTAAGATTCTAATATTTGGGGTGAAGAATTAAACTAGAGTATATAATATTTCAGATGGTAGACAGTATAATAGAAAGTAATTTAGAGTACCTATCTCTTAGGGAATTTCCAAAATGATTTGACAACTTGACTTCTGCTTATTTCAGTTAAGGATCATTCTGTGACAAATTCACAGAAAAATCTACAAAGATTTCCCAGTCCGATCTGAACTCTAGTAAAATATCATCATAAATAAAAGGGGTCTATTTTCAAAAAGGGAAAAGACTGGATTTTATACCAAATACCACCCTCTCCCATAAAGCAGCACAAGGCTTTGCAAAGGTCAAGCCAAATTTACATGAAATGTGTTTGGCGCATGCTCTCTTATACCAGGCAAAGCTTAAACTGAAGTAGTGCTGGAGAGATTTACGTTTTCTCCTCACCAGAAGATGTCGAGGTCTTTGTGGTTCAAAAGCTGAGGGATGCTGCTTCGGAGATGGAGGTCCCTGTGGATGAAGAGGATAATTTGGATGTAGCTAACTGAATGGACTAATGTTCTATTTAAGTTTTAATTATTTGATGGTGGATCACAATGATTTTTTAAATTAAGTTGTTCTTTTTGGCTTTGGTAACTTTAAAGTTTTCCCAAGTAAGCTGTTGTTAGTGGACTTATTTGGGGGATTTCTTCATAATGCTTAAAAAGTTCATGAAGATTGGGTTTTTTTTTTTTTATTTATATTTTTCAGAGTATGAGAGGAAAACAGACAAAAGAGGGGGAAAGAATGAAGGAGAAATACCTATGTGTATATTCAGGTGCCTAACATTGTATTCCTTTTTATTTCAGACCTAATTAGAGCCAAAACCCTGAATTCCATCTCCTATGTGTGATCATCTGTGCAGATAAACACTCTCACCACATCCTAGAAGGACAGTAGTGTTCATTCACTCTGTGGGGAGATCTTCCACTCTGTGAAAAATTTAAAGTTAAACTGGAAAGTTTTATATTTGGGGAACTACTACCAAATATAATTAACTATTTTCTTTGAAGACCTCTCCCACCCAACTTCTTTCTAGACCACAGGAATGAAAATAAGCCCGTTGTGTAATCTGCAAAGTAAAAGTAAAAGGCTGCAGTCCTGCTTTGACATGGACCTTTCTCTCTCAAGTTCAAGCTTATTTTTCTTAGTAAAATTTCTAAGAGGGAATGATATTCAAAAGGAGACCCTGTATTAATATTATGGATACCCAGCACTCAATGAAAGGCATGTTATTATTGAGCTTTGTTAACTAAACACCTAATGGCAGTTAAAATTCTAATTTAGAAGTACTCAAACTTTAAGTGAAACAGTCAAAATAACTTTAAAACATAAAGGTAGAGACAATCTATTGCACAATCAAAAACATAACTATGCTCATTCACATTCCAAATAAGGGGAAAGGGAGGTTGAGCAGAACAAACAATGACAATCAAAAAATTCAAACAGTAACACTCACCAACACATTTTTCAGCCAATTCACCTAAAAATGCATCTGACAATTTTGGATTCCAGTCCCTGGTATGGATCTGTAAGATGTGTTTTCTTGCCTAAGATGAAAAGCACAGATACATAAAATCTTGCCCAAGAAGAAAAGTACAGATAAAATATTATCAATCCCTCAAATACGTTAGGTGGAACAAATTTTGACTAACAATCCCATTAAAATTTTTATTTTAAAAAAAATTTAAACACCTTAGCATCTGTCTACATCAACTCTGATTCCAACAATAAATCTGGGAGATATGTAGTAGAGATCTTGTCTGTGTTCACAACCTAAGACATTTAATGTTGTGAGAGGTGAAGAAAATTGACTAGCAGCATATAACAACTAAGTGACTCATCTGGGACTAGAATTCAAAACTATATTTCACTTTTCCACCATACCACTTTTACTATTTGAAAATATATGAACAAAAAACTTTCATGTTATAAAAGTTATAGTCATAATTTTAAACAAACTTTACATTTCATAGAATTTGTGGTATTATGATCAACAATGAGCAAAATAACAAGTAACTTAAACTTGAAAAAAGTTTTTAATTTGGAAAGTATTCAAGTTTAATTAAATATCATGCATGCCAGTTGTGGTGGCTCACACCTGCAATCCCAGCACTTTGGGATGCTGAGGTAGGAGGATCGTTTATGTCCAGGAGTTCAAGACTAGCCTGGACAACATAGTGACACCCTGTCTCTACAAAAAAATTGTTTTTTAATTAATTGGGCATGGTGGTGCACGCCTGTGGTCCCAGGTACTCAGGAAGCTGAGGTGGGAGGATCACTTGAGCCTGAGAGGTCGAGGCCTGCAGTGTGCTGTGATTACGCCACTGCATGCCAGCCTGGGTGATAAGAGTGAGATCCTGTCTCAAAGGGAGAAAAAAAATCAAGCATATTATTACTTTGTCAGTTAGTTGATGCTTTGGCATTTAATACAAGGTATTTCAATAAATATCAATTAAATTCATTGAAAGATCAAAGTGTTATAAACAATTTTACATTGATTTCAGCATTCTCTAGCTTAAATCTGACTGCATATAGCACAATCAAAATTTTAATGTCTTGCTTCCAAAACAAACAGAAATTTATTTTTCTAAAATAGTTTTTTTTGTTTTTGAGACTGAGTCTCACTCTATCACCCAGGCTGGAGTACAGTGGTGTGATCTTACTCACTTCAACCTCAGCCTCCTAGGTTTAAGTGATTCTCATGCCTCAGCCTCCTGAGTAGCTGGGATTACAGGAACCCACCACCACACCTGGCTAATTTTTGTATTTTTAGTAGAGACGGAGTTTCACCATGTTGGCCAGGCTGGTCTTGAACTCCCGACCTCAACTGTTCCGCCCACCTCAGCCTCCCAAAGTGCTGGGATTACAGGCGTGAGCTACCACACCCAGCCTAAAATAGTTTTCTTAAAAAAACACTAACATATAAGAATCTATAATCAGCTGATACTATCCACCACCAACGGTAAGATCAGAATTTTGTTTTCACATCTGCACTCTTTGGAGAAAATTACAACACTTTTTAAAAATTGAGTATGCTTGTTCCCTCAACACTGCTGTCTAAGCTTCTTGAGACATGAAAAAGTAAATTATAACCAAGATGATAACACCTTACTGGCTTGATGAGGAATCTGGGGTCCAGCAACAAAACAGAACAACTTCAAAGTCATCAAGATAAATCTTGCTCAAAAAGTTGACAAAATCTGGAATCAATAGCTACAGTTTCAATTCCAAGTTCTAAGTTAGGCATTCAGCTATGAAAGTTAAAGCAATGATATGACACTTATTTTCTTCCAACTTGAAGTATCTGCTTGAACAGATACTAAAAAAAGAAGGTCCAAAAGAAATATCAACCTAACAGCATATATATTCTGTAAGATGACATTAAGAATCTATACAAACTTCATTAGCAGCACAGGCAGTGTGCTGCTAAGGGTGATTACAAGACCCTTAAAAAATAAAGAACATGTAAAAAAAAAATTATGCTGGAAGATATCCCAAAAAGAGATCCATTCTTATCCTCTCCTTTCCCTAAAAAGAGGTTTAAAGTAATGAAATTAATTATCTAAGGTTAGCAAGTTATCTTCAGGTCCCTAATAATGCTCTTTCCCTATATAACCCAATCAAAGTCACTTTCCTTTTGTCATACTAAAAACAAGACATGGAATGAAGAAAAAAATACTTAAATGTAGAAATCAAGAACTGTTCATTATGTATTTTACTCTATATGGCAAACCGAATAGTAAGTCAAAGGGCTTCCTCTAATAGAAAGTACCTTCCTCTACTATTAAACATCAAAGGCAAATTCAAGCTCCTCATTTTTCAGAATCCACAAGTACACATACAAATATATATTACTTACAACAATCATAAAAATGATGATAAAGGAAAATAAAAGAAATTAAAAAGCATTATTGCATATAGAAGATGTGTACTATTTTATGCAAATAGTTAACAAAATTATTAAAATTTGAAACCAAGATTTACTTTTATTAATCTTTTACTTAATGAAATAGCAAGAGTCATGATATTCTATTGGCCAAACCATAGGACTGAGACACTGACTGGTATCACTTTAAATTAATGACCCAAATGGGTCCTTATTACTACCCTTAATACTTCCCTAGGCCGTTCATTATGCCTTTCTCCTAGCAGACTATTTCACAGCACATCTTCACACTCTGCTGATGACCGTGCCTCCCAATTCACTGAGAAAACTGAAGCAATCAGAAAAAAACTTCCCCAGACTCCCCACATCCTAATCACCAAAGATGTCCACCCATCAGCATGTGTGCCAACAATATTCTGTCTTCTCTCTGTTGTCACAGATGAACTAGCCAGCTCCTATCTAAAGTCATTCACACCACTTTTACGCTAAATCCTATCACTTTTTGCCTATTGAGGACATCTCTCAATTTCACATAAAAATTCCCTTTTCTACTAGATATTTCTTCCATCTTGAAAACAATGAAACACATTATCTTGCCCCTGCTTCCTTCAATATCATATCACCTAAATTATTTGCTTCCCTTTGCAGAAAAACTCTTTTTAAAACATATCTATATTCACTCCCTCCAATTCCTTCCCATTTTCTCTTGAACTAACACACTCCAATTAAGCTTTTGCACCCACTACTAACTGAAACTGTTCTCATCAGATTCACTGACGACCTACATCATGATAAATACAATGACGAATTTTCTGTGCTTAGCTGAATGGACTTAGCAACACGTGACATGGTTAATCACACCCTCCTCATTGATACATTTTCTTCACTTGGCTACCAGAACACCCCACTGTCTTTAGTTTTCCTCTTACCTTACTGACTGCTCTGTAAGAGAGAAGACTTGGTAATCTCATCTAGTCTCGGGACCTTAAAAACTATTTAAGGGAAAAAGGTAAACAGCCAGCATAGGCCTTTCCACAGACCCAGGCTTGAGAAGAATGACTTAGATTTCAGTCTCACAAAACTGTTTCCTCGAAATGTTAGAAAGGGAAAGTTAATGTGGAAAACGATGTTCAAGATCCATGCTGTGCAATATAGTAAGCCATGAGCCACATAATGCCATTTTATTTAAATTTTAAATTAACTAAGACTAAATAAAATTTAAAATGCAGTTCTTTAGTTACACTAGCCACATTTTAAGTGCTCAATAGCCACATACGGCTAGTGTCTACCAAAATGCACGCTGCTCGAAGAACAATGCCAAAATAGAACGTTTCCATCATCACAGAAAATTCTATTAGACAGTGCTGTTCTAAACCTTGTTTACTGTTAAACCCTTGATTTGTGTGAACTGAACCTGGACTGTAAGGGCTGTGATTGGCATATAGACTCTGAGGCCTACTTAGCTAAGATAGTACAGAAGACAAATGGGAAATCAAGGAAATGGCTTTCCTGTGCTGTGTCTCAGAACTAAGCACATTTCCCAATGTACTGAAGAGTATAAAAGCTGTGCTTGGACTGTTGTTAGATGTCCCAAACAAAAAAGCTGATGCTTCCCCATGTGGAAGTAGACTGTACCTACTTCAGCCCTATCTACTACAAATAAACACACCAATATGCACTGATACATTCCTGAAGGCTGCACTTGGGCAATGAAAATAATGCTGTATATGCTATGTTTCCTGTCCTGACAAAGCTAAATAACCTGGTGCCAATTTAAAGCCTGTAAATTGAATTGTCAATCCAAATCTGAGTCAACTACTGGTGACTGTGGAGACTGATGTCAAACTGAGGTATGAACTGCTCTACACAGGGAAGCCATTGCCTTTGTTTCTCTATGGTCTTCCATACAGTCCGAATCACTTAAGACTTTCACAACTAGGTATGTAAACCAGGCATTTCACATAGAGGTCCAAAAACAAAGCTATACATATTCACATACAGTACCTCCTTTGCATGTATCTCTTCCTCTCAAATTTGAGTTTCTAATGAAAAGCCAGTCAGATTATACTAGTCAAACCAAGAATAATATTAAAAGTTTGAAGTTGAATTGGGAAAAAAAAATTTGTATATCATATAACATTTACAGAATCAATGATAAACATTACCCTGTATTATTAGTACATTCTTTTAAAAAAACTTTATACCATAATGAATAAAGTTTGTTGCTTTTAATTAAATATAGCAATTTCTATGAAAATTCAGGTACTGAGTCCTTATTCATAAACCCACTAATACTCTATAAAAACATTATTTTATGAGAATAAAGTTACTTTGGCTAACTAGGGACACAGAAACTGCCATACAGGACAATTACTACAATCTGGAGAACTAAAGCACAAGTAAGCATCTACAGTGATCTATCAAGAGCTTTCCTCTTGCTGCCTAAAAATCACAAACTTTCTTATAATTGTTAATAGAAAAAAACTGTTCCATAATTACATAGGTTTTTAAAGCATTAGCTAAGATATCCTTAAGCAGAAAATCTGAACAATGAAAATTCATAAAATATCACCCTCAGAACATATGCCTTATAGTAGAATTACATATAAATGTTAACATATTGAAAACAAAAACTCTTACCTTTTGATCAGGCAGGTTGAAGAGGAATTCTCTGTCAAAACGACCAGGTCTCCTGAGTGCAGGATCTATAGAGTCAAGTCTGTTTGTAGCACCAATAACAACAATTTCACCCCTATTATCTAATCCATCCATAAGAGCAAGGAGGGTTGATACTATAGAGCTGTAAAATAATTTTCAGGCAAAATTAAAAGAATTGTAAACACTGCTGCTTACAATAACGTTTATCAGTCTTTCTTTTTTTTTTTTTTTTTTTTTTTTTTTGAGATGGAGTGTCATTCCGTTGCCCAGGCTGGAGGGCAGTGGTGCAATCTCGGCTCACTGCAATCTCCGCCTCCCGGGTTCAAGCAATTCTCCTGCCTCAGCCTCCCAAGTAGCTGGGACTACAGGCGCACGCCACCACGCCCAGCTAATTTTTGTATTTTTAGTAGAGATGGGGTTTCGCTATATTGGTCAGGCTGGTCTCGAACTCCTGACCTCAGGCAATCCACCTGCCTCGGCCTCGCAAAGTGCTGGGATTACGGACGTGAGCCATGGTACCCGGCTTATCAGTCTTTAATGCTAACAAAATAACTGTAGCATGATTATATTTTAATGCAGGATCAAGTGATTTACAAAAATTATTTTCAAAGGCATTCAGAAAATATAGTAGACACCTAAACCTTGGCAACCAAAAAAAAAATGGACTTCATCAAAATTAAAAACTTTTCTTCTTCAAAGGATACTATCAGGAAAGTAAAAATATAACCTAAGAATATTTGTAAATCATATATTTGATAATATATATAATGAACATTACAACTGAACAACTAAACAATACAAAGACAAATAATAAAATTTAAAAGTAGGCAAAAGGGCCAGGCGCGGTGGTGCATGCCTATAATCCCAGCACTTTGGGAGGCTGAGGTGGGCAGATTGCTTGAACCCAGGAGTTTGAGATTAGCCTGGGGAACACAGTGAGACCCCATCTCCAAAAACGAAAAATATTTTTAAAAAATTAGGCAAAAAATTTGTATAGACATTTCTCCAAAGACGATACACAAAACCACATCAATAGTCATTAAGCATAAGCAAATTAAACCAAATGAGATGCCACTTCCAAACCACCAGGATGACTATAATCAGACAGATAATTAACAGCTTTTGATGAGGATGTAGAGAAGCTGGAACACTCATACACTGACTGATGGGTGGGAATGTAAAATGATGTTCCTCTTTGGAAAAAGAGTATTGCAGTTCCTCTGTTAAACGTAAGAGTTGCCAAATGATCCAGCAATGTCCACAAAAAAACTTTTACACTAATGTTCACAGCAACACTTTTCATAATAGCCAAAAAAGTGGAAGAAACCCAAAAGTCCATCAACTGATAAATAGAATAAATGTGGTATATCCATACAATGGAACAGTATTCCTCAATAAAAATAAACGAAGTACCAACAGCTACAACAACATGGATGAATCTTGTAATCACTTTGCTAAGGAAGCTAGACACAAAAGGCCACATATTATATGATTCCATTTATACAAGATATCCCAAACAGGCAAATCTATAGAAAAAGAAAGTATATTAGAAGTTGCCTAGAGCTTGGAAGGATGAGGGGAAGGTTGGGAGTTATGGCTAAAGGGTTTAAGGTTTCTGGGGTGATGAAAATGTTCTAACATTGACTGTAGTGATGGTTACACAACTTTGTAAATATACTGAAAGTCACTGAACTATGCAGTTTAAATAAGTGAACTGAGCTGGGCACAGTGGCTCACACCTGTAATTCCAGCACTTTGGGAGGCTGAGGTGGGTGGATCGTCTGAGGTCAGGAATTCGAGACCAGCCTGGCCAACATGGTGAAACCTCATCTCTACTAAAAATACAAAAATTAGCTCGGTGCGGTGGCACGCACCTGTAATCCCAGCTACTTGGAAGGCTGAGGCAGGAGAATCACTTGAATCCAGGAGGTGGAGGTTGCAGTGAGCTGAAGTCGCACCATTGTACTCCAGACTGGGTGACAAGAGCGAAACTCCATCTCAAAAAAAAAAAAAATGAGTGAACTGTACAGCTCTTATTATGGGGTCCTTGTCAGGGTCGCTTTTCTGGCTGGAAACCTCTGTGGCTGGTAGTGCCTCTGCCTCAGTTTTGCTTAGACCTGCTGGGCTCATTCCACCCACTCGACCTGACTGCGCTCGGCTCACACTACCAGCCTGTATCCCATGCCTGCCAGGGGCAAGCCAGGCATGGGGCAGCAAGGGGTGTTTGAGAGAGCAAGTGTGAGGTCCAGCCACTGCACACAGTCTGGCATGCCGGCTGCTGCACCGGGGCGGGCAGCTCCAGGTGTTGGCACAGGTGCTGGCTCTCTGTGAGGCTGTGGCTGGACCAGGCACACTGCAAGCAGCTTCCACGGCTGCCACTGGGGAACGTGGTGGTGCCTGGAAGCTTGGAGACTCCAGGAACTGCAGGGCTCCAAAGTCACAGCCCTGGCTCAGGGAGCTCCCAGGTCTGGGCTCCCTGAAGGGCTGCAGCTCTTCTCTCCTCTTCACCCACAAAATGGCAAGCAAGGGGCATGTTTCAGCCCTGTTTGTATTATAGCTCTTTCAGCCCTGCCATCTGACAGGTCCCGAGTTCTTGTCCTGAGTCCAGGAAGAACAAGATATGCAGACAAGTGGAGGGTGAGCAAGGCGAAGAAGAGCTTTATTGAGTGACAGAATAGCTCAGAGGAGATCCTGGAGTGGGCAGCTCCTCTCTACAGGCAGGTCGTCATGTTGAGTGTTGTTCAGCTCTCAGCAGAGAGGAGGTCCTGGAGTGGGTAGCTCCTCTCTGCAGCTGGTCATCCTGACATCTGCAGCTCTCAGCAGAGAGGTGGCCCTGGAGGGGGTAGCTCCTCTCTGAAGTTGGTCCTCCTGATGTCCACTTAGCTCTGGCTGAGCCGGGGCTTTTATGGGACTCGGGGGAAGGAAGTGCACACCAATTGGTCCATGGGGTGGCCATGGGCAGGCCCAGAAAAAGCACCACAAGTTCCCACTCCAGTCTGTGGGACTGGCAGCCTGGCCAACCTTCAGGCCCTCCCTAGCCTGAAGGTGGGTCTCACCACGGACCCACCCCCTTCTGCCCAGGAGCTTTGTCTGCCTCCTGCTGCCATTCATGGTGCCCAAGCTGTTCGTGCCAAGGGGCACCTGCAGGCCAGTGCCAAGCTGCCCTCAGCCACACCCTCAGCTTCCCACCCAAGCTCATCGGCACCCAAAGTCTGGAGGGGGCTGTGGCAGCAGGGGGTTGGCATGTAGCACTAACCCCAAGAGTGCGCACAACCAGCCAGGCTGCAACAACACCCAGGCTTGGCCCCAATCTTGCTCCAAGATCGGAGCAGGCGCAGGAGTGGGGAGAGGCCAGGCAGTGGAAGCAGACACCTCTGATCCTGCAGGGACAGGGGAAGCCTTCCCAGGCCCCCCAGAGTGCAGGAATGCCAGGCTCCACAGCCATGACTTGGGCAGCTGTAGCTGCACCTGGGAGGGCTGGACCCCTGTCTGCACCCAGGCCCCCGCAAGAGCACAGGGAGGCCCAGGTCCACAGCCACAACTTGGGCGGCTGCAGCTGCACCCAGGGAGCTCCCATCCCACCGACTCAAAAGGGGTGGGATTCCCACTTGTCCCCAGTTTCCAAAAGCTCCGTGGAATGTGCAGCCCCGGCTACACCTCCCCAATACAGCAGGCATGATGATGGTGGCCACTCCAGATGGCCTGCCGCTGCCATCACTGTGAACTGTATCTCAATAAAGCTGTTTTTCTTAAAAAGAAAAAATACAGTAGTTTGTTTTTAATAGATAGCAATCTAGGGGGTTTTTAAATGTCTGGAAATGTATATGACGCTTTAGTTTCTATTATATTAGATTTACATTATCGTTACACCTTTGGACAATTTCTTTAGAATGGCTACCACTTTATGTTCAACTCAAAATTATTTTCTGCATATTTTAGAGTAGTTTTTAAAAAGTATGACTTAAACATTTCTGAATATAAGTGTTTCATGCCTAATTATAACAGAAACTGTAGTTCTAGTAACAATGTTCTTTCTAGTGTTTTCCAACTGCTCTCATTTCTATTCCTTTACTCTTATTGCTAACACCTGCCTAAAATAACTTCTCCAATATGTTCAACATGTTAAAGAAATCATTCTCCTTCCCAAACACACTGCTCTAGCTGTGTTTCCAAAATCTATAAGCGGAATCAAAATGCTAGATACCCAGTGTATGTGTGAAGGAAGGATGTGTGATTCTTCTTTTCAAAATGAATAACTGAAAATTAGTGACCTAGGTTTCTCATTCAAGATATAAAGGGGGTGGGGAATATAAGTAGCCTCAAATATAAATTCATATTTAACCTCCAATCTTTCCTTGGTATCTTCCAATTACAGATTGTCATTTCAAGTGTTTGTTGGAATTTATCTGCATTTTTAAGTGTCTTGTAACTGAAAAGTCTTCAGACGATAAAGTCTCAGACATGGCCAGAAACAGAATTACAATCTAACTTAAATTATACCAAAAGTTGTCTTTAAAAAAAAAAAATCTGAATGGCCAACCCTTGGATCAAAATCCTTTAGCAACTCCTATTATGTAGGGAAATTAAAAGTCCAAACTATTTGACACAATATTCAAGGCCTACTTGCTTGTCTCAAATTCTGTCTCCTACATTACCTTCTAAAAGTGTTGTTTCACCTTTCAAATATAGATCTAAAATCCAATGAAATGAATTGTTTTGTATGATGTGTAGAGGAATCCAGGTTTTTTTTCCCACCAAAGAGATATCCAATTTTCCCAGCATTATTTATAGAAAAGGTCATCTTTTCTGCACTGCCTCTTTTACCATAAATTAGGCATCCATATGTGTGTGCATTTATTTATGGCTCTGGGCTCCGTTCCATTCATCTATTTGTCTAGTCTTCTGCCAATATCAAATTTTCTTAACCCTAAGAGGCCTTAATAACTAGTAGAGCAAGTGCTCCCACCTTATAGAAGAAAAGATAATTGAAAAATATTTCTTTCCATTTATTTAATCTTTAATGTTTGCCAGTCAAGTTTTAATATTTTCTGCATAAATGTAACATGAGACTTCTTAGACTTACTCATAGAAACTTTTTGCTAATGAGATTGCAAACAGTAACTTTTCATTTTTACACAATTACTAGCAACAAAAATACAAAATTTATGTTTATATTGATTGGTCTAACCTTCTTAGCATCTATCTACAGGTTGCTTTGCAATTCCTACATACATAATTGCATCATCTACAAATGATAAGAGTACTGTTTTTTCCTCTTCAATATGCATATCTTGTATAGCTTTGTCTTGCCAGACTACACTGACTGCGATCTATAGAACAGTATTGGTCAGAAGTGTTCATAGCAAAACAAACATGCTTGTCATATTCCCCATATTATAAGAAAAGATTTCATGTTTGAACATTAAGTCTGTTTGTTGTAAGTTTTTCTGCAGCTACCTTTAAGGAAATACTTTATATTCCTTGTTCTCTAAGATGAAGACTTTATTATGACTAAATATTGAATTTTATTAAACATTTCTTCCACATCTATTGAGGTGATCATCTTGATTTTTCTCTAATATGAAAATGTGATAAATTAACATTAACTGACTTCCCTCATATTAAATAAACCTTGTATATTTGAAATAAAATCAATTTAGTCATAATATATTATCCTTTTTATATCTTCCTGATGTAAAGCTCTACCAATCTGTTTAGGATTTTTATATACATGTTCACAAGTGAGACTAGTTTCCAATGAATTTTCTCATACCAAGTTTTATGAAGGTATAATTGACATACAAAACCCTGCACATATTTAAAGTATACATTTTGGTAAGTTTTGAAGTATGTATACCCTGTGAAACCATCACCACAACTAAAATAAGTTAACATATCCATTATGTTCTTCCTCATACTCCTTAGTTCTCCACCCATACTGACCCTCCTTGGCCTCTTTTACTCAACCCCTAGGGAACCATTCATCTGTATTCTGTCACTACAGATTACTTTGCATTACTTAAAATTTTATATACATGGGATCATACAGTAAGTACTCTTTTTATTCCTAGATTCTTGCATTTGGCATATTGTGAGATTCATCCATGTTACTGGTTTGATAATAGTTTATTCTTTTTAATTGCTAAGTAATATTCCATTATATAGATATGCCACAATTTGTTTATCCATTCACATGTTGATGGCCACCTGGATTGTTTTCAGTTCTGGGGTATTACAAAAAACCTGCTATAAACATTGACATACAAGTCATAGAGATTTTCCCCTATGTTTTTTCTAAAAGTTCTCCTTTCACCTCTTAAGCTTAGGCCTTTATGCTCTTAACCTTTGATGTCTAAAAAAACCAAAACATTACATTTTGCATTCCTAATACTGCTTATCTGTCTTCTTCTTATCATGACCAAGCATGCCAGAGGCTCGTCAGTTTTTTCAAAGAACCAACTTTATTAGTTTTTTTCAAAGAACCAACTTTTGGCCTTCTTGATTTCTACTATATCTTTGTTTTCCGTTCACATATTGTTGGCTACGATTTTTGTCTTTACAACACAGGTCATTTAGACTTTAGAGCTATAGTTCTTAATTATGAACATAAAATTATCTGCTTTTTGTTATTTTTCTGTTTTGTATATTACCAAACTTTAGAAAATTAGTTAAAATGTGCTTTAAGGCACATTATATGATCAATTTTCATAAATATGGTATATGTTTGAAAACAGTGTCCATTCTATATTTGTCTTAGATAAGTATGCCCATTAGATCAGATTCCTGAAATGTGGTGGTTCCAATTAATCTATAGAGCATTAAATGATTTTTTTGCTCAGCCTGATCTATCAATTACTGAGAGATGTACAGGATCTCTCCCACAATGATGATCAATTTGACTCTTCTACCTTGTAGTTCTGTCAGTTTTTGTTTTACATAGTTTGAACTATGGTTATTAGGGAATTGCAGATTTTAAATTGTTACTTTTAAGACAGGGTCTCACTCTGTCATCCAGAATGGAGTACAGTGGCACGATCATGGTTCACTGCAGCCTCGACCACCCAGGCTCAAGCAATCCTCCTACTTCAGCCTCCTGAGTAGGCAGGGCTACTGATAGTGATAGGACAGTGACAGGACAGGCATGCACTATCATGCATGGCTATTTTTTTTTTTTTTTTTTTTTGTACAGATGGGTTCTCATTATGTTGCCCAGGCTGGTCTTGAATTCCTGGGCTTAAATGATCCTCCTACCCTTAGCCTCCCAGAGTGCTGGGATTACAGGCATGAGCCACCATGTGCAGCCTAATTGTTATATCTTCTAGTAAACTGAACCTTTTATCATTATAAGATTTCCTTTTTACATGCACAGTAATGCTTTCTGACTTATGGTTTATTTTGTCTAAAATTAATGTAGCAATACCAACTGTTAGTATTTACGTGATATAATTTTACACTATTTAACTATTGTCGACATTTCATATAAACAGAATCATACAATAAGTGGCCTTTTGTGTCTGGCTTATTCCACATAGCATAATGTCTTCAAGATTCATCCATGGTGTGGCATGTGTCAGAATTTTTTTCTTTTCTTTGTGGAGGGATGGGGTCTCACTCTGTTGCCCAGGCTGGAGTACGGTAGTATTATCACAACACACTACTGCCTTGACCTCCTAGGCTCAAGCAATCCTCCCATCTCAGCCTCCCGAGTAGGTGGGACCAGATACACAGGCCACGACACTCAGCTAATTTTTTTATTATTTGTAGACACAGCATCTAGTTATGTTGCCCAGGCTGATCTCAAACTCCTAGGCTCAAGCAATTCTCCCACCTTGGCCTCCCAAACTGCTGGAATTACAAGCGTGAGCCACTACACTCATCCAGAAATTCATTCCTTTTTAAGGCTGAATAATATTTCATTGTATGGATATATCACATTTCATTTACCTATTCATCAGTTGATGGACATTTGGGTTATTTCTACTTTTGGGCTAGTGTGAATAATGCTGCTATGAATATTTGTTTTTGTGCTATTTTTTTCCACTATTTTACTTTGAACCTTTTTGTATCCTTACATGTAGATGTCTCACTTATAAACAACACATCATTATATTTTGTTTTTGCCAATCTGACAATCTTTGTCTTTTAACAAGAACATTTACTCCCCTTATATTTCAGGTCATTATTGATATATTTGGGTTTAAATCTATAATCATATTTTGTGCTATTTTCCCCATCGGTTATATGATTTCCCTCACTTCTCTTCTTGATTGCTTTTGGATTGACTTTTAAAAATTATTCTATTTTCCCCCACTAATAATTTAGGGATTATACATTACGTTTCTATTTTACTAATGATTACTCTAGAAATTCAAACCTGCATACTGGATAACCAAGAGGTCTACTTGCAGGTTATAATAAAGACCCAATCAGAGCACCCCTCAAAAAACAACTACAAAGCCTATGCATTATAATACATGAATATATACCTGACATTTCTGGTGAGTAAACAGAGACAGATGGGTTCTGGTGGGAGTTCATGGTAACTCAGAGAATGGAAACACGGTGGGAGTTCATGGTCACTTGGAGAAGAAAAAGTAAGTTTCCTTCTCTCTAGCTTTTAGTCTGGGACTAACTGCAGTGAGGGGGAGAGAGAATATGCAACAGGGGTTGGGAGGGTGCCTTATTAACTTTTCAGCATAAGAGTCTAGAAAAGAGAAGGTAGGAAGTTATTAATATTAAAGAATAAGGGGGACCACAAAAGGGCAAGAGCTAGTAAGGACACCCCAAACTCAGTCTACCCAGATCTCTAGCTGGTCCTGAACAAAGCAAGGAGCAGACTCAAAGGATCTAGCTAAAGACAAAAGGTTTGAAAGGAGATCAAAGCTCCCAGTTAAGAAACTGAATGCATTTCAAGCCTAACTCAGAAAATTGTCTCCTAAGAAAAAGGAAATGTGGCTCATAAAATAAAAATAACAGAATCCAGAGTCTCCAAAAACTAACAATAATAATATCCAGGACACAATCCAAAACTGCCCAACAAATTAAGAACCAATAAAAAGAACACATTCTCAAGAGAAAAGAAAACCAAGTGGGTCTAACATGAGATAAACCAAATGTTGAAGCTAACATAACAGAATTTTAAAGCAACTATTGTAACGAAGCTCAATTAAATAAAATAAAACATGCTTAAATGCATGAAAATCACATTGGAAAAACAGAAACAATGAAAAACAATCAAATGTAAGTCCTAGGACTGAAAAATACAATTTCTGAAATAAAAAAATGTGTTGGATGAACATAACCAAATGGACATGACAAAGCAAAAATAAGTGAAGACTGACTAAAGACAGACAAAAATTATCCAAGGTGAAAACAGAAAAAGACTGAAAAATGACAAATTTGTAGACACAAAATCAGAATAAACACAAAGAAAGCCACACAGAGGCATGTCATGGCTAAACTGTTGAAAGTAAAAGATACAGAGCAAGATACTGAAAGCAGCAAGAGAAAACCCAAATATTACAAAATGTGGGAACAACAATCTAATTAATGGCTCTCCAATTACGGGCTGTGATACAGGCAGATGGAATCCTGGCAGAGGCCAGCTAACTCACTAAGCGGAAGAGTCGGAGTTGAGATTCCAGGGAGACCAAGACGACTAGAGTCTACAGGAAAAAGTACCACAGAGGAGACTGCTCCACAGAAAGCAAACTCAGGAAATGTACACAAAACTCCTCAGCTCTTCATTTAAACACCAATCACTGCATACATGTGATGAAACTACCCAAGGCTTGGGGAAAAAAACACTCAGAAGAACTAGAAATAAGAGTACTCTACACTCACAGAGAGCCAGGAATAGTGCCAGTTCCCACCCACCGAACTGGTAAACCTCATGATTCAAAGGTCATTGCCCATAAATACATAAAAGGATACTGCATCAGTAGCAGGGAATAATTAGTCCTACACTCAGGGCTACTCAAGATCCGTATCACAAATCTTTGTTTTTGTTTTTGTTTTTTTGAGACAGAGTCTCACTCTGTCACCCAGGCTGGAGTGCAGTGGCGTCATCTCAGCTCACCGCAACCTCCACTTCCCAGGTTCAAGTGATTCTCTTGCTTCAGCCTCCCAAGTAGCTGGGATTACAGGCACCCGCCACCATGCCCAGCTAATTTTTTGTATTTTTAGTAGAGGCAAGGTTTCACCATGTTGGCCAGGCTGGTCTCAAACTCCTGACCTCAGGTGATACACACGCCTCGGCCTCCCAAAGTGCTGGGATTACTGGCATGAGCCACTGCGCCCAGCCGACAAATCTTAAAAGCAAGATTCCAAAGAATCAAACTGTTTTCAAGTTGATTAACTGTGTCTCAAAAGGAAAAAAAAAAACACACAACAAAACCACTTCAAGAATATCTACTTACAGTAACATAGCTAGCACTCAACAAGGTAAAAGTTACATCTGGCATCCAATAAATACTGCAAAGCATGCAATGAAACAGGAAAACACAATCCGTAATGAGAAAAATCAATAAAATAAAACTAACCCAGAAATACAATATTAGAATTGCCAAAGGCATTAAAGTAGGCATTATAACTATATTCCAGATATTGAAAAGTTCTATATGTATATGTATAGATGAAAACAAAAACATGAGGCAAAAACATAATGAATAGGATTAATAGCAGATTAGACATTTCAAAAGAAAAGATTAGTGAACTAAAACTCACAGCAACAGAAACTAACCAAAATGAAACACAGAAAAGATAATTTAAAGCAAAATTAACAAAGTTTCGGCAAACTATGGGACAACATCAAGAAACTTAACATATGTGTAATTAGAGTCCCAAAAGGAAAGAGGAGACAGGAGGTGGGGACGACAGAAAAAATAATGAAGAAATAGTGGCCAAAAATTTTACAAGTTTGATGAAAAACACACCCAAGAAGCTCAATTCAAGAATGAGAAAAGGGGAGAAAACTCCACCAAGATATATCATTAAATTGCACAAAACCAGTCAAGAAGGAAAAAAAAACCTAAATGTACCCAGAAAAAAGATACATTACATACAAAGAAACAAAAATAGAAATAAAAGCATAATTCATTACTGAAGCAATACAAATGAGAAGAAGAAAGACCAACATCTTTAAAGCACGGAAAGAAAAAGAAAAAAGTGTCGACTTCAAATTTTATACCCAGAGAAAATACCCTTCAAAAACAAAGGCTAAGTTCTCAAAAAGTTAAACATAAAACTACCATCCTGCCTAGCAGTTTCACTCCTTATCTCTACCCAAGAGCGATAAAAAATATATGTTCTACACAAACATTTGCATTGAACGTTCACAGTAATATTCATAATAGCCCAAACTGGAAACAACCTAAATGTCCGTCCAGTGTGTTGTATAGCCATACAATAAGAATACTGTTCAGCAATAAAAAAGAACAAAATACTGACCCATATTATATCATGGATGTTCCTCAAAACCATTATACTTAGCAAAAAAAAGCCAGACACAAGAAACCACATAGTATATGATTTTAATAATACAAAATGTCTAGAAAAGGCCAATCTATACAGAGATTAGATTAGTGGTTGGCTGTGGGCAGGAAAAGGAATTTACTGTAAATGGGCATGCTGGAATTTTTTTTTTTTTTTTTTTTTTTTTTTGAGACAGTGTCTCACTCTCTCACCCAGGCTAGAGTGCAGTGGCACAATCAAAACACACTGCAGCCTCGACCTCCTGGGCTCAAGCAATCCTCCCACCTCAACCTCCCGAGTAGCTGAGACCACAGGCATGCACCACTACACCCAGCTAATTTTTGTAGTTTTTGTAGAGACTGGGTTTCACTATGTTGGCCAGGCTGGTCTCAAATTCCTGGGCTCAAGCGATCTGCCTGCCTCAGCCTCTCAAAGTGCTGGAATTACAAGCAAGAGTAACTGCACCCCACCTCATGCTGGATCTTATTAGGGGTAGAAAGATGTTCTAAAATTGATTTATATCAATAGTTGTACCACTTTGTTGAGGTACTCTAAAAATTACTAAACTATACACTTAAAATGAGCAAATTTTATGACATATAAATATACCTCAATAAAGCTGTTTTGGCCAGACACAGGAGGGTGAGGCGGGCATATCACTTGAGCCCAGGAGCTTGAGACTAGCCTGGGCAACATGGTGAAACCTTATCACTACTAAAAATTCAAAAAGTGGCTGGGCGCTTTGGCTCATGCCTGTAATCCCAGCACTTTGGGAGGCCGAGGCAGGCGGATCACAAGGTCAGGAGTTCGAGACCAGCCTGACCAATATGGTGAAACCCTGTCTCTGAGACCACAGGCATGCACCACTACACCCAGCTTATTTTTGTAGTTTTTGTAGAGACTGGGTTTCACTATGTTGGCCAGGCTGGTCTCAAATTCCTGGGCTCAAGCGATCTGCCTGCCTCAGCCTCTCAAAGTGCTGGAATTACAAGCAAGAGTAACTGCACCCCACCTCATGCTGGATCTTATTAGGGGTAGAAAGATGTTCTAAAATTGATTTATATCAATAGTTGTACCACTTTGTTGAGGTACTCTAAAAATTACTAAACTATACACTTAAAATGAGCAAATTTTATGACATATAAATATACCTCAATAAAGCTGTTTTGGCCAGACACAGGAGGGTGAGGCGGGCATATCACTTGAGCCCAGGAGCTTGAGACTAGCCTGGGCAACATGGTGAAACCTTATCACTACTAAAAATTCAAAAAGTGGCTGGGCGCTTTGGCTCATGCCTGTAATCCCAGCACTTTGGGAGGCCGAGGCAGGCGGATCACAAGGTCAGGAGTTCGAGACCAGCCTGACCAATATGGTGAAACCCTGTCTCTGAGACCACAGGCATGCACCACTACACCCAGCTTATTTTTGTAGTTTTTGTAGAGACTGGGTTTCACTATGTTGGCCAGGCTGGTCTCAAATTCCTGGGCTCAAGCGATCTGCCTGCCTCAGCCTCTCAAAGTGCTGGAATTACAAGCAAGAGTAACTGCACCCCACCTCATGCTGGATCTTATTAGGGGTAGAAAGATGTTCTAAAATTGATTTATATCAATAGTTGTACCACTTTGTTGAGGTACTCTAAAAATTACTAAACTATACACTTAAAATGAGCAAATTTTATGACATATAAATATACCTCAATAAAGCTGTTTTGGCCAGACACAGGAGGGTGAGGCGGGCATATCACTTGAGCCCAGGAGCTTGAGACTAGCCTGGGCAACATGGTGAAACCTTATCACTACTAAAAATTCAAAAAGTGGCTGGGCGCTTTGGCTCATGCCTGTAATCCCAGCACTTTGGGAGGCCGAGGCAGGCGGATCACAAGGTCAGGAGTTCGAGACCAGCCTGACCAATATGGTGAAACCCTGTCTCTACTAAAAATGAAAAAATTAGCCAGGCGTGGTTGGTACACACCTGTAGCTCCAGCTACTTGGGAGGCTGAGGCAGGAGAGTGGCTTGAACCTGGGAGGCGGAGGTTGCCATGAGCAGAGATTGCGCCACTGCACTCCAGCCTGGGCGACAGAGTAAGACTCCATCTCAAAAAAAAAAGTCAGGTGGGTACAGTGGCACACACACCTGTGGCCCCAGCTATTTGGGAGGCTAAGGTGGGAGGATCAGTCGAGGCTGCAGGGAGCCATGATCACACCACTGCACTACAGCCTTGGTGAAGGGAATGAGACGCTGTCTCAAAAACAAAGCTGTTTTTGCTTTTGTTTTAAAAAAAAAAAAATGTGCTTTCAGCCAGGTGTGGTAGCTCATGCCTGTAATCCCAGCACTTTGGGAGACCGATGTGGGCGGATCACAAGGTCAGGAGTTCAAGATCAGCCTGGCTAATATGGTAAAACCCCATCTCTACTAAAAAAAAAAAAATACAAAAATTAGCCAGGCGTGGTGGCACGCAGCTGTAGCCCCAGCTACTCGGGAGGCTGAGGCAGGAGAATCGCTTGAACCCAGGAGGCGGAGGTTGCAGTGAGCCGAGATCGCACCACTGCACTCTGACCTGGGCAACAGAGTGAGACTTCATCCCAAAAAAAAAAAAAAAAAGTGTTTTCAGATATGGAAAAGCCAAAAGAACTTGTCACTTGCAGGCCCACACTGTAAGAAACGTATACATAAAGAAACTGATACTAACTGGAAATATGAACATCTACAAAAGGATAGAGAGCACCAGAAATGGTAAGTATAAAAAATATTTAAGATATTTTTATTTACATTTCTTCAAAAGTTTTTAAAGTTTTAAAAATAAAATGTACAAGGCCAGGCACAATGGCTCACACCTATAATCCCCACACTTTGGTAGGCCAAGGCAGGCGGATCACTTGCAGTCAGGAGCTCGAGACCGTGTCTCTACTAAAAACACAAAAATTAGCCAGGCATGGTGGCGTGCACCTGCAATTCCAGCTACGCAGGAGGCTCAGGCAGGAGAACTGCTTGAACCCGGGAGGCAGAGGTTGCAGTGAGCCGAGACTGCGCCACTACACTCCAGCCTGGGTGACAGAGTGAGACTCTGTCTCAAAAAATAAAAAATGTATGACAATAGCACAAACCTCAGGAGAAGAAAAATGCAAGTATACTATTTCAAGGTTCCCATATTATATGTGAAATGGCCTATCATCAATTGAAGGTAGATGGTTACAAGTTAAAGACATATACCATAAACCCTAAAGTTACTATGAAAATAATAAACAGTAATGGCTAATAAGCCAGCAATGGAAACAAACTGGAATCATAAAAAATATTCAACTAATCCAAATGAAGGTGGAACAATAGGAAAAGGGAAAACAAGAAACAGGCTAAGAGAAAATCATCTAGATGATAAATTTAAACCTAACCATATCAATAATCACACTAAATGTATAAGTGTCCATTTTGAAGGAAATGGTATTTTCATTGTCTTGACTGTAGTTATGGCTTCACAAGTATATATGTATGTTAAAACCTTCCAAGTTTTACTCTTTATCAATGTCAATATTGTGTACATACATATAGTATATATATTATACCTCAATAAAGCTCTTTTTAAAACTCAATAGCAAAATTGAGACTCTAAAAAAAAACTTTCAAAGTTTCAAAGTGTTTTTTAAAAAGGCAAAAAAGAAACAGAAAAAGAAAACAGCAGACACAAATAGAAAATGGAAATGAAATGATCCCCAATTCAAATATATCAATAATTACATTAAACATTGACTAAACAGTCAAATTAAAATTAAGAGACAATGCAATTAAGAAAATAAGACCCAACTTTATATAGTCTATGAACAACACAGGTTGAAAGCAAGTTAATGGCAAAAAATATACCACACAAACAGCATGAAGTCTAGAATAGGTGAATTATTATCTGATAAAAATAAATTTCAAAATTAAGTGTATTACAAGATAAACATGGACATTTCATAATATAAGAAAGCAACATCAACATAAAGATGCAATAAATGTGTATGAAACTAATATAAAATTTCAAAATATGTGAGACAAAAACTAGCAGAATTAAAGGGACAAAGAATTCATTATAGCTGGACATTTTAACATATTTGTCTCTGCAATCAATAGAATTAGACCTAAACATCTGTAAGAAAACAAAAGAGGCCAGACACAGTGGCTCACGCCTGTAATCCCAGCACTGCCTGTCGAGGCAGGCAGATCACTTGAAGTCAGGAGTTCAAGACCAGCCTAGCTAACATGGTGAAACCCCATCTCTACAAAAATACAAAAATTAGCTGGGCATGGTGGTGCATGCCTGTAATCCCAGCTACTCAGGAGGCTGAGGCAGAAGAATCACTTGAACCTTGGAGGCGGAGGTTGCAGTAAGCCAGACAGAGCCACTGCACTCCAGCCTGGGCGACAGAGTGAGACTCCGTCTCAAAAAAATAAAACCCCACAAAAGAGTCTGCTTAACACTATTAATGCCTTGTCTTATTTTATATTTATAGAACACTATACCATAAATGGCAGAATGCAAATTCACAGGATACACTGGGACATAAAGGAGAATGCAATAAATTTAAAAATGACTTTAATACAAAAAAAATTAGCTGGGTGTGGTGGCATGCCTCTGTAGTCCCAGCTACTCAGGAGGCTGAGGCAGGAGAATGGCCTGAACCCGAGAGGCGGAGCTTGCAGTGAGCTGAGATCGCGCCACTGCTGGAGTGGGCAACAGAGCAAGACTCCGTCTCAAAAAAAAAAAAAAAAAAAATGACTTTAAGAGTTATGATCTCTAGATCACAATAAAACTAAATTAGAAGTAAATAACAATAAAATAATCAGGAAAAATAACCACAGCTATTTGTAAATTAAATACACATCTAAATTAAATACACAATGACTGTGTCAAAGAAAAAATGACAAGAGGAATTGGAAATTATTTTGAACTGAATGACAGTGAATACATGTCAAAAACTGTGGGATGTAGCTAAAGCATTGCTTAGAGGGAAATTTACAGGTGTCAATGCCTATATTAGAAAAAAAGAAAAGTTTCAATCAATTTCTAAGCTTCCATCTTAATCTGAAAAAGGGAGTTAAATTAAAAACAAACAGAAAAGACTTGGGAGACCTGAAATACATACTGCTATATAAAAGAAGCCAATCTGAAAAAACTACATACTGTTTGAGTCCAACTATATGACATTCTGGAAAAGGCAAAATTATGGAGATAGTAAAAAGATCAGTGGTTGCTGGGGAGATAGGGAGGGCTCTGCAGGGCAGAAGAGAAGGGGGGATGAATGAATAGACGATTTGGGGGAAGTGAAAATATTCTGTATGATACTGTAAGAGCAGATACGTGTCATTACACATTTGTTGAAACCCTAAAACTGCCTGCTATGAATGGAATGTTTCTATTCCCCTAAAATTCACACATTGAAACCTAATCACCAATGTAATGTTGTTAAGAGGTATTAAGAGTTAAGAGCTAAGGTGTTAAGAGTGTTAAGAGGTGGAACCTTTGGGAGGTAATTAGGACACAAGGGCAAAACCCTCATAAAGAGGATTCCTGCCTTCATAAAAGAGACCTGAAAAAGCTAGCTGGTCTTTTCTACCATTTAAGGACACAAGAGAAGTCATCAGAACCAGAAAGCAGGTCCTCACCAGACACTAAATCTGCTGGCACCCTGATCTTGGACATCCCAGCCTCCAGAAATATGACAAATAATGTTCTGCTATTTCTAAGCTACCCAGTTTTATAGAGATTTTTTGTTTTCTGAGACAGGGCCTCACTCTCTCACCTAGGCTGTAGTTCGGTGGCACGATTGTGGCTCACTGCAGCCTTGACCTCCCCAGGCTCAAGTGATCCTCTCACGTCAGCCTCCCAAGTAGCTAGGACGAGAGGCACACCACACCCAACTAATTTTTGTACTTTTAGTAGAGACACGGTTTTGCCACATTGCCCAGGCTGGTCTCAAACTGCTGAGCTCAAGAGATCCACTGTCCTTGGCCTCCCAAAGTGCTGGGACTACAAGTGTGAGCCACTGTGCCCAGTCATGAATAGTCTATTTTTAAGACCATTTGTTAGGGCAGTTTTAGGTTAACAGCCAAATTGAGAAGGAAATACAGAGACTTTCATACGTCCCCCGCCTGCCCCTTCATATGTATACCCATGCCCCAACAGAGTGGTGCACTTATTTCAACTGATGAACCTACAATGACACATCACAATCTACAAAGTCCACAGTTTACATTAAGGTTCACGCTTGATGATATACATTCTATGGGTTTGGACAAACATATCATGATGTGGATCCACTCTTACAGTATAACACAGACTATTTTCACTGCCCTAAAAAATCTTTTATACTCTGCCTACAAATCCCCCTCAGTCTACTAATTTTTAAAAATATAAGAAAAAAGGTAGTATAAAATTGGAAACAAAAATAATAGTAGAAAATCTATGAAAACAGAAGTTGCCTCTTTGGGGGAGAAAGGACCAATAAAATTGATAATCCTCTAGCCGGAGTAATCAAGAAAAAAAAAAAGAGAAAACACAGGTTATCACCATCGGAAATGAAAAGAATACTACCGCAGACTATTTAGGCATTAAGGAGATAACAGAATAGTAGGAAAAAATGTATGTAAATTTCTTGACTTAGGTGAAATGAACAAATTCCTTTAAAGATAAACTACCAAACTAACAAAACTGACCTAAGAATAAATAGAAAACTTGAACAGCCCTGTATCAACTGAAGAAATTTAACTTGTAATCAAAAACCTTTCCATAAACAAAACTCCAGGCCCAGGTATTTTCACTGGTGAATTCTCTCAAACACTTAAGAAATGAATAACATCAAACTTACACAAACACTTTCAGAAAATAGAGAAAGAGGGAATGCCATCTCATCTTTTTTTTTTTAAGAGACAGGGTCTCACTATGTTGCCCAGGCTGCTCTTGCACTCCTAGACTCAAGAGATCCTGCTGCCTCAGCCTCTCAAAGTGTTGAGATTACAGGCATGCACCATCACACCCAGTGTATATCTCATCTAATACACATCAAAATTACCTGATTCCAAAACCAGATGCAGATATTTTAAGAGTAATTACAGATCAAAATCTCATTAATACAGATAATAAAACTTTTTATATTAGCAAGTGGAATCCAATAATTTTTTAAGAAAGACAATATATTATGAGCAAGTGAGGTTTATTCTAAGAATGCAAAGTTAGTTTACTATCTAAAATTCAGGCCAGGCGCAGTGGCTCACACTTGTAATCCCAGCACTTCGGGAGGCCGAGGCAGGTGGATCACCTGAGGTCAGGCGTTCAAGACAAGCCTGACCAACATGGTGAAACCCTGTCTCTACTAAAAACACAAAAATTAGCCAGGCACGGTGGCAGACACCTGTAATGCCAGGTACTCGGGAGGCTGAGGCAAGAGAATCACTTGAACCCAGGAGGTGGAGGTTGCAGTGAGCCGAGATCACGCCATTGCACTCCAGCATGGGCGACAGAGCGAGACTCCATCTCCAAAAAAAAAAAAAAATCTAAAATTCAATCAAAATAATGCTCTACCTTAATAGAATACAGGAGAAAAGCCATATGATCAATTCAAAAGAGACAGAAAAAAAAATATGTTACAAAGTTCAGTACTCTATCCCAGTAAAATAAACTCTCACAGCAAACTAGGAATATAGTGGAAATCCCTCAATGTAATAAAGGGCACCTATGAAAAACTTAGTTAAAATCACATTCAATGGTTAAAGTCTCAATGTTTTACAGCCAATGAAGGAAACAGGCAGTGATTTCCATTATCACCATTACTATTTAACTGAATTCTAGCCAAAGAAATAAGAAAAAGAAATAAAAGACATAGATTGGAAAGGAAGAAGTAGAAGTACCTTTATTTGCAGATAAGGTATATGTATAAAACCGTAAGGAAACCACAAAATAGCTAATAGAACTAACAAATGAATTTAGCAAGGTTGTGGATACAAAGTCTATAAACTCAGTTGTATTTTTATAAACCAGCAGTAAGCAATTAGAAAATAAATTTTCTTTCAAAACTCCATTCACATTAAATGAACAATAAAGTATTTAGGGATGCATTAAACAAAAGATGCCTAAGATCCTTATGCTAAAACCATAAGACACAGGAAAAGGAAATTAAAGAATACCTAAATAAATGAACAGAATTACCATGTTCATAGACTGAAAGACGAATAAGGATGCAATTCTTCCCAAATAGATCGAAGGATTAATTGCAATCCCAAATAAATCCCAACAGTCTTTTCTAAAGAAACTGACAAGAGGCTTTAGAAATGTAAATGGAAAGATAATAGATGACTACAACAATTCTGAAAAAGAACAAATTTGGAGGACTTATACTAAAATGAACATTAATCAAGACAGTGGTATAAGGATAGACCTGTAGATCAATGGAATCAACTAACAAATCTAGAAATAGACACACATTTATATGGTCAATTTTTGTCAAAGACGTGCCAAGAAATTTAACAAAGTAAACTCTTCAATATATGGTTCTGGAACAAATGAGTATCTGTATAAAAAAATAGGCTGGGCATGGTGGCTCATGCCTGTAATACCAGCACTTTGGGAGGCCGAAGCAGGAGAATCACCTGAGGTCAGAAGTTCGAGACCAGCCTGGCCAACATGGTGAAACATACCTCTACTAATAATACAAAAATTCGCCAGGCATGGTAGCACACACCTGTAATCCCAGCTACTCAGGAGGCTGAGGCACAAGAATCACTTGAACCTGGGAGGTGGAGGCTACAGTGAGCTGAGATCGCGCGACTGCACTCCAGCCTGGGCAACAGAGTGACACTCCGTCTCAAAGAAAAAAAAAGAATACCTGTATTAAAAAAATAAACTTCAGTCCATACCTTAAACTATCTACAAAAATTAACTTAAACCCTCACCTCTTACTGATACACAAACATTAACGTAAAATGAATCATTGACTTAAATATTAAGAGCTAACACTGGCTGGGAACAGTGGCTCATGCCTGTAAGCCCAACACTTTGGGAGGCCGAGGTGGGTGGATCACCTGAGGTCAGGAGTTCTAGACCAGCCTGGCCAATATGGTGAAACCCCACCTCTACTAAAAATACAAAAATTAGCCAGGCGTGGTGGCAGGCACCTGTAATCCCAGCTACTCGGGGGGCCAAGGCAGGAGAATCGCTTGAACCTGGCAGGCGGCGGTTGCAGTGAGCCAAGATCGTGCCATTGCACTCCAGCCTGGGGCACAAGATCGAGACTTCGTCTCAAAAAAAAAAAAAAAAGCTAACGCTATTAATATTTTCAAAGAAAACATCCAAGAAAATTATTGCCACACTTATTTAGGCAACTTTTCTCAAGCAGAACACAAAAGGCACAGATACATTTTTTAAATCTATATGGTGGCTTTATCAAAATTCAAATCCTGACTCTTCAAAAGTCCTAACTAAGCAAACAAAGATACAAGCCAGAACACTGGAAAAAAATTTCAAAACAAAGACTGGGCCAGGGGTATTGTCTCATGCCTGTAATCCCAGCACTTTGGGAGGCCACGGCAGGCAGATCACTTGAGGTCAAGAGTTCGAGACCAGTCTGGCCAACATGGCAAAACCCTGTCTCTACTAAAAATACAAAATTAGCCGGGCATGGTGGTGCACACCTGTAATCCCAGCTACTCGAGAGGCTGAGCCAGGAGAATCGCTTCAATGCGGGGTGCGGAGGTTGCAGTGAGCTGAGATCGCACCACTGCACTCCAACAGGGCAACAGAGCAAGACTCTGTCTCAAAAAAAAAAAAAAAACACAAGGACTACAACACAACAAGACACACAATCTAATTTCTAGTTTTAAAAAATGGCGCAAAAGATTTACAGACATTTCACAAATGAAAATATATAAACAGGCAATAAACACAAAGATGCTCAATATTATTGGATTAATATTAAAGCTTAATATTATTTGTATTACTATTAATGCAAATTAAATCCATTACTGTACACCCACTAGGATGGCTAAAGTTAAAGACAGTTAACACCACCAATTGTTGGCAAGGATGAGGAACAACTCAAATTATCATACGTTATAGGAAAATAAAAATGGTAAAACCACTTTGGAAAACAGTACAGTGTTACCTTAGAAACTTAAACACACATTTACCATAGGCTCCAGAAATTCCTCTCTCAGGGATTTACCCAACAGAAAAGAAAACATGTCCACACAAAAACTTGTAGAGACGCTTTGAGAGGCCAAGATGGAGGGCTCGCTTGAGACTAGGTGTCAGAAACCAACCAGGGAAACATAGCGAGACTCCGTCTCTACAACAAATACAAAAATTAGCCAGGTGGGGTACTGCATGCCTGTAGTTCTAGCTACTCAGGAGGCTGAGGCAGTAGGATCACTTGGGCCTAGAAGTTTGAGGTTACAGTGAGCTATGATCACACCATTGCACTCCAGCCTAGGTAAGAGAATGAGATCCAGTCTCTTAAAAATGCTTTGGACCGGCCGGGCATGGTGGCTCATGCCTGTAATTCCAGCACTTTGGGAGCCTGAGGCGGGTGGATCACAATGTCAGGAGTTCGTGACCAGCCTGGCCAATATGGTGAAACCCAGTCTCTACTAAAAATACAAAAAAAATAGCCAGGCGTGGTGGCACATGCCTGTAATCCCACCTACTTGGGAGGCTGAGGCAGGAGAACTGCTTGAACCCGGGAGGCAGAGGTTGCAGTGAGCCAAGATCCCGCCACTGCACTCCAGCCTGGGCAACAGAGTGAGACTCCATCTCAAAAAAAAAAAAAAAAAGCTTCAGACCAGAATTATTTTAAACTTGGGATATTTTTCAGATTTTGGAATATTTGCATTATATTTACCAGTGGAGCTTCCTGAATCCCAAAATCCAAAACTGAAAAAGCTTTGATGAGCATTTCCTTTGAGTGTCATGTGAAAATTCAAACAGTTTCAAATGTTGGAACATTTCAGATTTCAGATTTTTGGATTTGGGATGCTCAACCTGTAGCAGGTTGAGCATTATCATAATAGCTAAAAATAGAAGCAAAACAAATCTCCCATCAGATGGTAGATTGAAAAATAAATAGTAGTATACACACACACATATACATTAAGGAATACTCCTGGGGAGTGAAAAAGAATAAAATATTAGCATACATGACATCGAGGCCAGACACAGTAGCTCACATCTATAATCCCAGCACTTTGGGAGGCGGAGGCAGGCAGATCACTTGAGGCCAGGAGTTCAAGACCAGCCTGGCCAATATGGCGAAACCCCATCTCTACTAAAAATACAAAATTAGCCAGGCATGGCAGCACATGCCTGTAATCCCAGCTACTTGGGAGGCTGAGGCATAAGAATCACTTGAACCCAGGAAGTGGAGGTTGCAGTGAGCCGCGATTACGCCACTGCACTCCAGCCTGGGTGACAGGGTGAGACTCTGACTCTAAAAAAAAAAACCAAAAAATTATGCTAAATTAGGATGAGAAAACTTTTTCTGTAAAAGGTCAGATAGGCTGGACACAGTGGCTCACGCCTGTAATCTCGGCACTTTGGGAGGCTGACTGGGGAGGATGGTTTGAGGCCAGGAGTTGAAAACCAGCCTAGGCAAGAGAGCAAGAACTCGTCTCTAAAATAAATTAAAAAAAAAAAAAATTAAAAGCCCACATAGTAAATGTTTTAAACTTTGCAACGCATTCGGTCTCTCTATCACAGCTGCTGAACTCTACTATTGTAGCACATAAGAAACCACATGCAATGCTTAAGGAATGAACATGGTTGTATTCCAATATAACTTCATTTACAAAAACACACAGAGGCCTGGATTTGGCTCACAGGCTGTGGTGTGCTGACCCCTGTACTAAGAGAAAGAAGTAGTCCTCACAGACACAGATTGTTTTAAATTTCTTTGTAAGCCTCATAGCACTTAGCTAAGGGCTAAGGCTAACTACCAAGTCAATGCGTAAAAAAGAAATCAAGATAATCAGATAAAGAAAAATTACCTGTGGATCTGATCTTGTCTGCTAGAGCGAACTGGAGCTAATCCATCTATTTCATCAAAAAATATTATAGAAGGTCTCATCAAATATGCCTAGTAAGAAGAAAACAAATAATATTTATTGTATTTGTTTTCATTTTTAAAATTTATTATATTTTCTTAATAGGTAATAAAAGCAAATGGTACAACATGCAGCAGGTATGAAGGAGTATATAGCAACGAGGAAATCTTACCACCCAGTTTCCAACAACCATGTCTCCTCCAGTAAGCAACTACTGTTTTCAGTTTGTTTATTCTTCCATACATACTTATACACAAACCAAAGTGTATTTTTTTTTTTTTTTTTTTTGAGACGGAGTCTCGCTCTGTCACCCAGGCTGAAGTGCAGTGGCACGATCTCGGCTCACTACAAGCTCCGTCTCCCAGATTCA
Organism: Homo sapiens; assembly: GCF_000001405.40. Classification (NCBI taxonomy): domain Eukaryota; kingdom Metazoa; phylum Chordata; class Mammalia; order Primates; family Hominidae; genus Homo; species Homo sapiens. The sequence continues at coordinate 23,857,842 of NC_000002.12, forward strand.
CACCATTCTCCTGCCTCAGCCTCCTGAGTAGCTGGGACTACAGGCGCACACCACCACGCCCGGCTAATTTTGTTGTATTTTTTAGTAGAGACAGGGTTTCACCACGTTAGTCAGGATGGTCTCGATCTCCTGACCTCGTGATCTGCCCGCCTCGACCTCCCAAAGTGCTGGGATTACAGGTGTGAGCCACCACACCCGGCCACCAAAGAGTATTTTTTAAACACGCATGATAGCACACCACACACATTCTTTTTATTTATTTGTTTTAGGTTTTATTTATTTATTTATTTATTTTTTGAGACAGAGTCTTGCTCTGTCACCCAGGCTGGAGTACAGTGGTGCAATCTTGGTTCACTGCAACCTCCGCCTCCCGGGTTCAACTGATTCTCCTGCCTCAGCCTCCCGAGTAGCTGGGATTACAGGCATGTGCCACCATACCTGGCTAATTTTTGTATTTTTAGTAGAGATGGGGTTTCATCATGTTGGCCAGGCTGTTCTCACACTCCTCACCTCAGGTAATCCACCCACCTCGGCCTCCCAAAGTGCTGGGATTACAGGCGTGAGCCACCGCACTCAGCCTACACATTCTTTTTATATAACAATGTATGTTGTTAAGTAATTTCCGTATACTTAAGACCTGTCTCATTCTTTTTTTTTTTTTTTTTCTTCAGACAGGGTCTTACTCTGTCACTCAGGCTTGAGTGCAGTGGCATGATCACAGCTCACTACAACCTCAAATGCAAACAATCCTCTTGCTTCAGCCTCCAGAGTACCTGGGACTACAGGCAGGGACCAACACGCCCAGCTAATTTTTAAGTATTTGGAGAGATGAGTTCTCACTATGTTGCCCGGGATGGTCTCAAACTCTTGGGCTCAAGTGACCCTTCCACCTCGGCCTGCCAATGTGCTGGGATTACAGGTCTGAGATACTGTGTCCAGCCTGCCTCATTCGTTTTCAACAGCTATATGATGTCCCACCGTATGGATGTGCCACAGTTAAACCTGTCCCCTTCTTATGGATACTTAGGCTGTTTTCAATATTTTCCTATTGGCAACAATATTGTAACAAATAATAGTAAATAAATAACTGTATTTATCATTTCATATGAGTATAAACATATTAATATAATAAATCCTAAAAGTAGAACTACTAGCTCAAAAGGCATGTGTCATTTCTAATCTAGTTAGATATTTGCAAATTGCCATCCACTGAAGTATCATTTTACCCTCTAACCAGCAATATTTAAGGGTGCTCACCAGCAATGTATTATCAAACTTATTGACCTTTGCTAATTTTTTAGGATAAAGAATGTTATCTCATTTTATTTTCAATTCTTATTTATAAGATGGATACATTATATATCCATAAAAGTCATTTATATTGCTTTTCCTATGCTGCCCATTACTTCACAAGATCACTAGTCTTTTGCTTAGTGAGTTCTAGAAGCTACTTATTTATTTATTTATTTATTTATTTTGAATTTTTGAGACAAGGTCTCACTCTCTCACCCAGGCTGGAGTGCAGTGACATAATCACAGCTCACCTCAGCCTCCACCCACCAGCTCAATCAATTCTCCCGCCTCAGCCACCTAAGTAGCTAGGACTACAGGTCCATGCCAACACACTTGGCTAATTTTTGTATTTTTATAGAGGCAGGGTTTCACCACGTTGCCCAGGCTTATTTATTTATTTTAAAGGTGAATGCTCTGTCTGTAATAGGAAATGCAAATATTTTTCTGCAAAGAGTATCATTTATCTTTTGAATTAGTATTGCTATGGTTTGAGTTTGTCCCCTCCAAAACTCATGTTGAAATTTAATTGCCGGCCGGGCTTGGTGGCTCATGCCTGTAATCCCAGCACTTTGGGAGGTCGAGACAGGCGGATCTCTTGAGGTCAGAAGTTCGAGACCAGCCTGGTCAACATGGTGAAACGCCGTCTCTACTAAAAACACAAAAATTAGCCACGCGTGGCGGGGGGGGCACCTGTAATCCCAGCTACTCGGGAGGCTGAGGCATGAGAATCGCTTGAACCCGGGAGACAGAAGTTGCTGTGAGCCGAGATTGTGCCACTGCACTCCAGCCTGGGTGACAGAGCGAGACTCAGCCTCAAAAAAAAAAAAAGAAATTTAATTGTCATTGTGACAGGTATTGGGAGGTAGGACCTTTAAAAAGTGTGTAGGTCTTGAGGCCTCCACCCTCATAAATAGACTAATGTGGCTGACATCTAAGGAGTAGATTTATTATTGTGATAGTGGGTTTGCCCCCATCTTGTGCATTCTCTCTCTCTCTCTTTGCCCTTCTGCTATGGATGCTGTCTTCTGTCATGTTATGACACAGCAAGAAGGCACTGACCAGATGCCTTGATTTTGGACTTCCTCGTCTCCAGAACTATGAGTCAGTAAATTTCTGTTCATTCTAAATTACACAGTCTGTGATCTTCTGTTCTAACGGCACAAAACAAAAATATGTATTTTGTTGCCATGCAGAATCTTAAAATTTCTTTTATGTGCTAGATCTTTCCTTACATAGTTAGACCTCCCTACTCTGAGATCATAAACAAAATTCTCCCATGTTTTCATCTGGTACATTTGCAGTGTCATTTTTCTCACTTAAGTATTAGATCTAGAAAGAATCTGATTTAAGATGAATGAATATTAGATAACAAATGAGAAGTTTTTATCATATAATTTACTCAAATTTATGTAGCTTATGTTTCAAAATTAAAGGAAACTCTCAGTTCACAGGAAGGTCAGTTTACTAAGGAAGAGAGATGAATTTTCCATTTCTCCTGAGTGATATGCACTAAACTTTAATGTTTCCTAATAATTTGAAATGAAAGACAATTCAGGCTGAGCATGGTAACTCACGCCTGTAATCCCAGCACTTTGGGAAGCCAAGGCAGGTGGATCACCTGAGGTCAGGAGTTCCAGACTAGCCTGGCCAACATGGTGAAACCCTGTCTGTACTAAAAATACAAAAATTAGCTGGACATGGTGGCAGGTGCCCATAATCCCAGCTACTTGGGAGACTAAGGCAGGAGAATCACCTGAACCCAGGAGGTGGAGGTTGCAGTGAGCCAAGATCACGCCATTGCACTCCAGCCCGGGCGACAAAAGCGAAACTCCATATCAAATAAATAAATAAATAAATAATTCAACTACAAGATAGGGGTTTTGGGGAAAAAAAGTTAAAAGAACTGGAATTATGGCCCAGTGCAGTGGCTCACACCTGTAATCCCAGTGCTTTGGGAGTGTTGATCACTATTTTTATATACATGAAACAAACAACTGTTGTTGTTGTTTTTTTCCTTTTTTTTTTTTTTTATAACTACACCCTCACAGTATTGCAAAAAGGAGGTAGGGCATATTACGTGCCAGTCACTGTGATAAATATTTTGTGTCTTCTCAGTGAAATCTCATAACAGTCTAGTAAGATAGGTATTCTTTCTACCATTGCACAAAAAAGGCTACTAAAGATTAAATGTTTTGATTTACTTAATGTTATATTCAATGGTAAAGATAGATACAAACATTTTTCTGACATAGAAGGCCACTCTCTTAGCCAATACACTGTAGTGCCTTCATTTCATTTAGTGCATAGACCATATCCTTAACTTAGGAATGCAGAATCTTTCATTAAAAAAAAAAAAAAAAATCAGGATTACCAGCAATTTTCTTAAAAAATACAGCAAACATTTCAACTATTCCTCCCACCAAGAAAACTATGAAACAGAAATAAAATAAATTTAGACAAAAGGAGTAGCATGATTTATGCTATGGTTTTAAATAAAACTAAGAGGCATCCCTAGCCCAAGTATGAAATGGCTACAAAAGTATAACTTTAAAATTTTTAAATTAAATCATTGAATAATATGCCAGCATTGCCAAGCCAATTCTTCCTTCATCTATAAATGTTTATATTTTTATTGTTTGATTATTAATGAATTCTCTTGAAGCATTCAGACTGCATGTTTGACTCGCCATTAGACACTGGACACGTTCAAGGTAAAAATCTTACCTACTCCTTTTTCTAAATCTAGCAGTTTTTGATACTATTAATAATTTTAAAATAGTACTGGGCCAGACACAGAGGCTCATGCCTATAATCCCAACACTTTGGGAGGCCAAGGCGGGAGGATAGCTGAAGGCCAGGACTTCAAGACCAGCCTAGGCAACACCTTGGGACCCTGTCTTTCCAAAAAGTTGAAAATTAGGCAAGTGTGGTAGTGCACACCTGTAGTTCTACCTAGAGAGGCCAAGGCCGGAAGATCACTTGAGTCCAGGAGTTTGAGGTTGCAGTGAACTATAATCACATCACTGCACTCCAGCCTGGGTGACAGAGCGTGACCCTTTCAAAAAAAAAAAAAAAATTGTGAAGTACTTTACCAATTACAAAGGACTTTCACACACACCATCTCAGTAATGGGTGCTCAAAGCTTGAAGTTATTTTTTATTTCACGTGAATTTCCTCAGACATAATCAAATATATGCTGCATTGCCAAATATGAACAGCATCCTTCACTAACTCAAACAATCAAAAGTGAATTTATATTTGGACTGGTTTTTTTTTTTTTTTTTTTTTTTTTGAGAGACAGAGTCTCACTCTATTGCCCAGACTGTAGTACAGTGGTGTCATAATCGCTCACTGCAGCCTTGAACTCCGGGGCTCATGCAATCCATCTGCCTTGGCCTCTTAAAATATCGGGATTACAGGCGTCAGCCACTGTGCCCAGCTGGAATAATTCTTAAAACGTATAGGAAATAATATCTTTAAAGTTTTTGTTACAAATAAATAGTAGACATAGTCCACATGATATTTATTCACCCTGCTCTGCCTTTTAAAAGCATTCACTCATGTCTGAATTCTTCTAGTACCGTATTTACAGCTCATGAAAATAACACACTACTTTGTGAGATTTCTTGCACAGATACTTAAGTTTTTATGCCTGTTGTAGTTCCCCAATGGATTATAATCTAGCAATATATATGTTATATCCTGTGTTGTCTAAAGCACCTAACATGGTATTATATACCTCGCAGCCACCTCAATAAATGTTTTATGAGCCATCATAAATATTCAAAAGTACTAGTGAAACTGCCATTAAATGCCTCTAAGGCATACAATCACAGATTACTAATCCTGAATATAACATATTGGATGGAAAATATGCTTCCTCATAAACAGTTTGTATTTGCAGATTAAACGTATTAAATATTCTAAAGAAAATATTCTCAGCAGGCAGATTGCTTGAGCCCAGGAGTTCGAGACCAGCTGGCCAACGTGGTGAAATCCCACCTCTATAAAAAATACAAAAATCAGCCAGGCGTGGTGATGCACACCTGTAGTTCAGGCTACTGGGGCAAGGACTGATGCAGGAGAATTGCTAGAGCCCTGGATGTCAAGACAGTAGTGAGACGAGATCACGCTATTGCACTCACTCCAGCCTGGGTAACAGAGAGAGGCCCTGTCTCAAAAAAACAAAGAAAGAAAAGAACAGAACAGAACAGAAAAGACTCTTGAATTAGATGATTTCTCTTACCTGATCAAAAAGAAGCCTAAGTTGCCTTTCAGATTCACCAACCCACTTGCTCAAACAATCTGCTCCTTTTCGCATAAAAAAAGCCACTTTTTTGTCTCCTTGGCTGCATTCATTAGCTAATGCTCTGGCAACCAAGGTTTTACCTGTGCCAGGAGGGCCATAAAACAAACAGCCCCTAGAAGAATAAAAAAATCAAGAAGTGTAAATTATATTATCATCACTGCTGATAACCAATTTTAAAAAATGTCCCCCCCTTCCATATAATTTTGTATTGAAGTATAATTATTAGACATTGATAAAGCTTTTTCCAGGATATAGACAAAAGTTTTACTTTGCTAAGTCCTTAAATCACCAAGCTTTGGCAGACAAGAAATAAAGTACAGAGTAATTTGGCAAGATATATAGAAATTTTAAATGTGTTTCCCAATGACCCAGAAATTTCACATCTTTAGAATAAATAATGTAGAAATACTCAAAAGGAATGATAGATAGATTCAAATGACTCTTTAATAAGATTTTCCATATCCTTAAAAACGTGAAAAATAAATTAGAACAAAATCTGAATAAAAAGTGCCTCCTTAAAGAAAACAGACATTTATCAGTTTAAATCTAACAGCCTATATGTGTATCTTCTGAATATTCTTTTTTTTTTTTTCTGAGACGGAATCCTCACTGTCACCCAGGCGCAATCTCGGCTCACTACAACCTCCGCTTCCTGGGTTCAACTGATTCTCATGCCTCAGCCTCCCGAGTAGCTGGGATTACAGAGGCATGACACCACCCCTAGCTAATTTTTGTATTTTCAGTAGAGACGAGGTTTCACCATGTTGGCCAAGCTGGTCTCGAATTCCTGACCTCAGGTGATCCACCCACCTCGGGATCCCAAAGTACTGGGATTACAGACTTGAGCCACCGTGCCCAGCCAGAATATTCTATTCTGCCCAATCTTCTTTAACATAATTTATCTGCCTTTTCCAATAGTTCCCCAGCTATCCACCTCATGATCAGGCACAATCTGTTCCTACAAATAAATTATCAAGCTCACTCTATTTCAAAAATACTCCATCATCAAGTCAAAGAAACACATCAATAAAACTGTGCTTCCAAGAGTAAATAACATATAGCATCAAACTCGATGCACTGGGAGCCAAATTCAGAAAAACCCATCTGGACAATCTGGTTGTGTATTTAGGGCCCACAGAAAGAATCTTATCAAGTGCCTGACTTAAATCCTGAGATGTAAACTTCAAGAACATACTTAGTTCCATGGCCTCTGGACCCTAAACAATAACATTTCATTTCTAACTGTCATTGCTAGGACACGTCAAATAAATATATATCAAATATTTATATTTATAGCAATTTACTCAAATAACATTTGAGAAAGTAACAGTAATAACAATAATAAACATCTATGACATTGCTTACCTTGGAGGCTGAATTTTAAACTTTTCAAAAATTTCTGGATATAAAAGTGGGAATACTACCATTTCCTTTAGCGCATGAATATGATGGCTCAATCCACCTATGCTATCAAACCGTACCTTGGAAAGAAGGGGAAAAATTTGATATCAAACAATTTTATATGTTTTATAGAATTTTTAAAATTTATAAAAGAGTCTTACGATTCAGAAATACATGCCTTTAGCAGAAGCTTTTAAACATAACTACAAATAAGTGTAGAAAAAAAAGGCCAACAATAAAATCCAAGTTTACATTTCAGTTCAGGCAAATTAAGCTACCATTATTTAATCTAGTAACTCAGAACCAGGATTAATCCCCAACCTAAAACTTTAATAGGTATCTATAGGAGATTTTTATATTATACTAACATATATAATTTTTATATTATACCAAGTTTTAATGGGCCTGGCACAGTGGCTCACACTTGTAATCCCAGCACTTTGGGAGCCCAAGGAGGGCGGATCACCTGAGCTCAGGAGTTCGAGACCAGCCTGCCCAACATGGTGAAACACCATCTCTACTAAAAATACAAAAATTAGCTGGGCATGGTGGCGCACGCCTGTAATCCCAGCTACTTGGGAGGCTGAGGCAGGAGAATAGCTTGATCCTGGGAGGCGGAGGTTGCAGTGAGCTGAGATCGCACCATTGCACTACAGCCTGGGCAACAAGAGTGAAACTCCACCTCAAAAAAAAAAAAAAAAGTTTAAATGGCTTTAAAAATATATAATTATTTTGTACATGTATTCTCAGAAGGGGGCAATATTGTCCTCACAGAGGCAAAAATTGGTTCAAGGGTAGGGCAAGAAAAAATCTTAGCTATTTACAATAGTTTGTAGACCTCCCAAGGTCAATGTTACCTGACAAAATCTTATTCTTTAACATTTAATTTCTCTAGTCAGAGAGAAATTTACTTTTTTTTTTCTTTATGGGACAATGATGAAAAAATTATTTTAGAAACACTGATCTATCACAAGAAGCAGCAAAGATTGTTCCTCCCACCCATAATAGTTTAAATAGCTAGAAAGCTTTGTAAGAAAAAAAGTGTACAGACAAAAAATGCTTTAAGAAAATTTTACCCAAAGTGTTAACTGTGACTGCCTCTTCCCTGCTTCTTCATTCTGTTATGGTACTTGAAAATGTTTTACAATGAAAGTATTACTATGATAGAAAAAGTGAAAGTAAACTATTAACAGAAAAATAAAAACAAGTTAAATAACAGAAACATTTTAAGAGAAGCTAAATTTTCTTGTATTTGGTATCAAATTTTAAAGAAATAAGTGGCCTGGCACGGTGGCTCACGCCTGTAATCCTAACATTTTGGGAGGCCAAGGCGGGAGGATCACCTGAGCTTAGGAGTTCGAGACCAGCTTGACCAACATGGAAAAATCCCGTCTACTAAAAAAATACAAAATTAGCTGGGCGTGGTGGCGCATGCTTGTAATCCCAGCTACTCGGGAGGCTGAGGCAGGAGAATCGCTTGAACCCGGGAGGCGGAGGTTGCGGTAAGCTGAGATTGCGCCATTGTACTCCAGCCTGGGCAACAAGAGCGAAACTCCATCTCAAAAACAAAAAAAAGAGAAAAAGAATTTAGTCTACTTTGGCAGAGACATCTAAAGTTTACTAGATTCATCTGTAAATGGACAGATGAAAATAAATGAAAGGAAAATAAAAATGAAGAAAAAAATTTTTTAAAGACAAAAAAGAAATTAACTAGATTCAAAAGAGTAAAGTGCTGGTAAGCCAAATAAGCAAAGATCATTAGGTAAGGTCTTCTGAGAAGGTGCACTATTAGAAATGGGATTCTGCTCATATGCAATACTCTAATATTTTCTTAGGGTCCCATTAATAAATAAGATAAGCATTTTCCTCTATGACTTCAGATTAGAGATAGTTAAAATTTCATCTTCAAGTATATATGCAATTCTATTTGATAACTTATTTTAAATCTCTCTATGGAAATCACTTAAATTATGTTGTATAGAGAGATTTTTGGGAAAAAAGAAAAAATGTGTCAAATAAATTCTTGGTTATGCAGTAACCTTATTCCAAAATATCCCCCAAAATAAGATACTACTAACAATGAGAAAGAATCTACCATGTCCTCCGAGTCTTGTGCCTGTTTTTGTGCTATGTATCTTCCCCAGGTGTGATCGATCATCTATTTTCCAAAGTGACCTCACCGCTCTTTATATTGATGACCCGTATTTGAATTTCTAGTCCAGGTATTTCTCCTTAATGCCAAACCTAAATAACCCATTACCTACAAGGTGCTTCCACTTGTAGTATACCTCAGATACCTAAACATGTATTAGTTAAATACAACTAATTAAATCATCTTCCTGCCTCAAACATTTATTCCTCTTCTCATGTTCCCTACTCAGAGAATCAAGCCATTCTCCATCCAGACCATCCATTATCTACCTAGTCACCTAAGCTAGAAACCTGGGTAATACTCTCAAGTTGTACCTTTCTCTTGTTCCCCAAAAGCAATTAATTCACCAAATTCTGTCATTTCTGAATTCAATCCTCAATTCTTTCAAACCCATTTACTTCTTCAAAGTTATCCTAGTTTCTACCATGACCACTACTCCAGATTACTAGACTACAGCAACATCCAGTCTCCCTAATGCCAGCCTTGCTTCCCCCAAATTCATTAACTATATCATAGCCAGAGTGAGCTACCCAAAATACAAAATCATGAAACTAGGCAATTTCAACAACAGCCCATTGTTCATCATGGTTTATGAAGCCTTGCCCCTCATAACCTTCTCAGCCTCATTTCCTACCTGTTACATATTCCAGTAACACTGAAATGAAAATATCTGACTAAGCACCACTTGTGGCTAGGGTTCTTAGGTTTCAAAACATATACATCGAAACATTAACACTGTCATATCCGAATTTTCTAGTTCTACTATGTGCTGCTTTAGAAACAAGAAAAAAACTTTTAAAAAAAAGAAAACTTCTAGAAAAACATTTACAAAACTTACTGATTTATCAATGTTCATTGGATCAACATCAGCCAAGCTTGCACCCACTTTCACTCGTTCTCGGAGAATACCGCTAGCTAAGTCCTCTGCTCTGAAGTTCATAGGCAAACATCTGAAATTTATAAAAGTGCAAGTAAAGTTGCATTAAAAGTTTCACATTTTTAATGTCAAAATAAGTTTACATTCTTTGATGTGTCTTCATCTTTCTCCTTTTTCTCATAACCCAGAAAATAATATCAAAGGATTTCATACTTTTACTCTACTTTTCTTACATTCTTGTCAATGGCCAAAAATTAAGTTACTCACTAGATAAAGCAAACAAGATCGTTAATCTATTTGCCCGAAGAGCCCAATCTATTCCATTTTAGGAAAACATCTTAACATACCTGATTATCCCATGTTATACAACTATAAAATAAAAATAAACCTATATGTATTATAATATATGGGATTAAAATAAAATTAAGCTACTGATTGATTGATTGAGACAAGATCTCACTCTGTTGCCCAGGATGGAATGCAGTGGTGCAATCACAGCTCACTACAGCCTCAACCTCCTGGGCTCAAGTGATCCTCCCACCTCAGCCTTCCAAATAGCTGGAACTACAGGCAGGCAACACTACACCTGGCTGATTTTTTATACAGACAAGGTCTTACTATGTTGCCTAGGCTGGTCTCAAATTCCTAGGCTCAGCCACCCAAAATGCTGGGATTACAGGCGTAAGCCATCAGCCCAACCTTTATTATAATATTTAAATCTATCCTCAACTATTACACGAATATGTCTACTCAGTTATATGATTGAAAAAATTGTCTTTCCATTTTTTTCAAAAAAAAACCAGAGATCACATCTTGAACACTAAGCTTCATCTTTTGTGTAACTACCTTAAGAGAGATCTCTATACTACATTATTTAACACATTATTTAATATACTACATTATTTAATTTCTGTAAATTAATATAGTCAACTTCCTCTTTTAACCTTGGGTAAACACCAATGACATTAACAGCCTCAAAAAAGTCTAGCATCTATAATGAATGTAACTTCATTGATATTTCTGAATCCTAATTTATAAAAATATATTATCAAAGTAGATTATCAGAATAGTTCGGATTAAATAGGCATTAAACGCTTTTATTTAAACTTGGATTTTTCTCATTTTCTTTCCATCATTCAGATGAGAAATTCTTTTTTAGTACACTATCTAACTGATCCAAACTTGTTTCCAAGACCTGCTAACTGAAAACTTGGTATTTCTACAATAAATAATAATTTGACACTTTAATTATTTACTCCTCCACTGAAAATTCTCTGAGGTTTTAGTGAGCCCAACAGTGATCAGTTAGTTACCCTAGTTAGGGAAAGATCACCAGAGGCACTTGTTCAACTGACAACAAAAACAAAGTAATTTTTTCCAATAAAAATCTAAGGTTTCCTGAGATAATTCTATTAGAAACCATGTCTTAATCTGACTGCTATAATACTGTAATCATTATAAGTACCTAAAATCAACCTCATTAAATGGATTTAGATTAGAAAGGAGGTACAGAGGAAAAGACAGACACTGCCATATAGGTTGGCCTGTTTCCCTTAGCTCTCCTTACTTTCCCTCTCCACAAATTATTTTATCGTAAGTACTTTCAGACTAAATGATTTTGGGGAAAGGTTAGATTTTTATTGAAAGAAAAGCTAAGTAGAAACCAAGTCAATGTCTTAATCTAGTCTAAAATATGTGTTGAATATCAATGTTAGCAAAGAAAATCACTCAAAAAAAACTTATTTTTCCTTTTTTCTACCATGGAAATAACATTACAAATTTTACTAACCTATTTCTTGCTCTTGCCATGCTCTTTGATTTCCTTCTTTCAAAGCGTTCCTCATCAGAAGAAGTTGTGTCACTACTATGAATGGCATGCTTCTTTCTCCTATTTAAAGAGAGTAAAATCCTTAAAACCATTATAATAGCAAACAACTTTTTAAAACACACTGTAATATCTACAATTAGCTCAGAGAAAATTCATTCAGCAAATATTTATTAAGATTTTTTACCCTCATACAATTTACATGAAGTATAAAGGTAGCAAGTTCTGCAGAGAAAAAGAAAAAAAAAGGCCTGTAATCCCAGCACTTTGGGCAGTCAAGGTGGGTGGATCATGAGGTCAGGAGTTCGAGACCAGCCTGGCCAACATGGTGAAACTCCAGCTCTACTAAAAATACAAAAATTAGCCAGGCACGGGGTGGGCACCTGTAGTCCCAGCTACTCGGGAGGCTGAGGAAGAAGAATTGCTTGAACCCGGGAGGCGGAGGTTGCAGTGAGCTGAGATTGCACCAGTGCACTCCAGCCTGGGTGACAGAGCAAGACTCCTTCTCGGAAAAAAAAAAAAAAGGAGAATAGAAAGCCTAAAGTTTTTTTTAAAAGAATAATTCAGGAAGGGAGTCAGTAACCAACTTTTTTTTTTTTTTTTTTTGAGACAGTGTCTCACTCTGTCACCCAGGCTGGAGTGCGGTGGCAAGGTCAGGGCTCACTACAGCCTCAACCTCCAGGGCTCAAGCGATCCTCCTGCCTCAAACCCCCAAGTAACTGAGACTGGAGGCACCCGCCACCACACTGGCTAGTTTTTGTACTTTTTGTAAAGAGGGAGTTTCACCATGTTTCCCAAGGTGGTCTCAAACTCCTGAGCTCAAGTGATCTACCCACCTTGGCCTCCCAAAGTGCTGGAGTTACAGATATAAGCCACCGCACAGGGCCAGCAACCAATTTAAATTACATCCAAATTTAGCGAATATCGGTCACTGTTTGATAAATAACATTAGAATCTCAGAAAAAAAAAAGTTTGGTTTTTTTTTTTAATTTTATCTTTCCCAAATAGTCACAGTCCAGACATTTAAAGAACAAAGGAAAAATAATACACTGGTTTACAGAGGACAAGGGCTTTAACTCACTTAAGATATTTCCATCCTGTTTGAACTTCTTATAAAATACATAAAATATTTTGAAGAAAAAAATAGTTTATAACCAGAACTACTATGGAGAGATTAGGTAATTTGCCAGGCTGAAGTCATCACGAAGGAAAAATAATACTTAATGAATGCCAGATTATTAGTATAACTCATGACATCGCTAAGACACCTAAAAAATACTATAATAAAACCACCACAAAATTGTGTGCTCACGAAGTGTTCAAATTGAGTTCATCATATCCAAATCAAATGCTTCAACCACTTCTTTTAAACTGTATATTCAGTTAGCAGTTCCACTAACTAGTAATTTGCAAAAAAAAAAAAACCTCAAAAATCATCCTAAATCCCTTTTTGCCCACCACATAATCACTGCCATTGAGCTCTAGCCACATTCCCTGTAAATATCCCTTATATCGTCTTCTTCTCCACCCCTACCTAGGTTTCGCTTACCACCTGCCTAGCCATTTAACCACCCTCAGCTCTGCTTTACTAAAAAAAAAACATTTGCCATGATCTTACCTCGGATCTTGTTACCGCGTGAACTGCTCTCCACCTCTGCAATTTTAAAATTCAATGGCCTACTTTTTGAACATAACCTCCTAACATACCAACTTTCAACTCATCAAGGCCTACTATACCCGAGCACCCACTGACTCAGAGTCAACTCCCTTCGTGGCTTAATTTTCTGTCAAGCCTCACAGGAAAAGCTATTACTTCAGTTTTTAATCTTTCTACCTGACTCTGTCTCCTTTTTCTTCCATTACACTTGCTGAATTCCAACCCTGTACCAATCCAAGTAATAAAAGTAGAACACTGAACACACTAATGAAAATCCACACAACCATACAAGCTGCAATCATTGTCAGTAATTTACTTCAAGCACAAATAGCCTTCAAAGATGTCCCAAAATCTGTGCATCAGTACTCCACTCCAATGCCCACATGTCCCATTAGCAACCCAGATTTTCTCAACTTCTCCTTAAGATCCTTAACCCACCTCCTACTCCTTCTCTACTAATCGGAATCCTTTCATTAACTTCTGCATCCATTTTTGTGAGGGAAGAAGGAATTGTTTTTGGGTTTGTTTTTCTTTTTTTTTGAGACAGAATCTCGCACGGTCACCCCGGCTAGAGTGCAATGGCGCAATCTCGACTCACTGCAACCACTGTCTCCTGGGTTCACGCGATTCTCCTGCCTCAAGTTCCCAAGTAGCTGGGATTACAGGTGCACACCAACACGCCCAGCTAATTTTTGTATTTTTAGTAGAGACAGGGTTTCACTATGTTGGCCAGACTGGTCTTGAACTCCTGACCTCATGATTCGCCCATCTCGGCCTCCCAAACTGCTGGGATTACAGGCATGAGCCACCATGCCCAGCCTGTTTCTGTTTTTATTTTTGTTTTTAGATAGAAGGTCTCACTCTGTCAACCCAGGCTGGAGTGAAGTGACACGATCATAGCTAAGAGCAGGAAGCCACAGCTTCCACGGCTTTACGCACAGTCTCTTCATCCCCCAGGAACTGCATGCACCTGATGGTCTTCAAGTTCTTGTCAAATTCATAGACAATGGGAATACTAGTCGGCAGGTTCAGCTCCATGACAGCCTCTTCAGAGAGACCATCCAAATGTTTCACAATGCCCCAGAGGCTGTTGCCATGCACTGCAATCAGCACCCATTTCCCCTCTTTTACCAGGTGAGCTATTTCTTCATTCCAAAACGGCAGAGCTCTGGCTTTGAGAGTCCTTCAGACTCTCACAGGAGGGTAGCTGATCCTCCGTGAGGTCTGCATGCCTGCGATCCTTACTAATGTTGCTGTAGAAAGGATGGTCAGGCTCCATCGGAGGTGGTGGAACATCATAGGAGAGCCTCCAGATCTTCACCTGGGCCTCACCATGCTTTGCAGCAGTTTCTGCTTTACTGAGATCAGTCAGACCCCCATAGTGCTGCTCACTGAGGCACCAAGTCCTCACTACAGGCAACCACATCTGATCAATGGCATCTAGCACTGTCCAGAGGGTCCAGATTGCTCTCTTCTGCACTGAGGTGAAGCAGATGTCAAACTCATAGCCAGCCATCTCACAGTGCCTGCCTGCCTGCCACTCTTCATCTCCTTATGGCCCGCCGGGCTCACATTGGCATTGTACCAGTCGCTGAAGCAGTTCTCCAGGTTCCAGGTGCTCTCACTGGGCCAGATCAACACCAGTTTGTAGGTGGCCATGGCAGCGGGCTGGGGAGGCCCTACATCAATTTTTGATACTTCCCAACTCTTCAGGAAGATAGTTGCAAAAATTATCTACTTATTCTTTGCAATTTTGATATTTATCCTCTCCTCTACTTCTTTCTCCCCATCAGGAAAGTTCCCAAGTTTATGTGTGTATTGGGCCTATAACATATAGAAATGTAATAAATTTGCCAATAATAGCACAGAAGGAAGTTGGTGGGAGAAAAGTTGTATTGGTCTAAGAAAATGACTTCAGATAGTAAACTGAATGCATAAAAAATAAAGAGAACCAAAAATGGTAAATCAATTGAAAAGTTAATATAACAATACCTATAAACATATACAGTCATCCCTTAGTATCTACAGGGGAATGA